>NC_000011.10:37938787-38090303 GCF_000001405.40 Homo sapiens
GTGATTGATGGCAGAAATGACAAGTGATTTCAAATGTCCTTTCTGTAACAGTAGAGTAACTTTTCTTTATGTAAGCAATATGTAGCTCCTCGGTAATGTCAAATACAAGAATAGTAATTATTGTAAATTTCACTAAATTTGTCAATAATATTCAAGGTTTAATTAGCAAATATTAATTGTATATGTAGAGGTTGATATTTTTAAATCCTTGACTTTAAATACTTAAACTCTCATATGGAAAAAAAATTTTACACACGGGAAAATGGAGAAAAATTAATAGCCTACTTTCAATTTCATGGGCATTTTTATTTCATGATGAAAATCTTATAAAGTATAGAATTTGAAGTGCAAACTATCTCAAAAATTTGAGATTATTGTGCTATGGTTTTGCCTTTGATGTGTTATAAAATGCAAATTATTTATCTTAGGTATATGATTCTAATATCTTTATTTCATTTTTTTTTTTTTTTCACAAAATCAGCTCTGTTGATTCTACTTTTGGCTTTATATAAGCAATATCTACTGAGAACAATTGAATAGCACTTATAGGTAATAGTTTCATTGTGTATTATTTTAACACATTTAAAAAATAATGTGACTTGAAAAATATACTGAGTATGCTGTATGCACTATATATAATTTACCATTAAAACATTACAATTACATAGGAAAATAGTCCCTCAAATATCTACATTGATGTTTTTATCGTGATCTAGTTAATTGTATCTGTTATCAATTGCATACTTCCAAATTGTGTGTGAGTTCAAAGCTCTTTACTATGTTATTTATTTCAATCCACTTATTTAAAAATAGATATTGACTCATGTCCACAGTATTTGCAATAGAACCATAAATAAAAACTTAAGATTATATTGTCTCCTAGTTTTATAAGTTTCACAAGCATACGACCTTAGGAAACAATAAGAAATCCACACTGTTTTTAGGAGAAAAAGAGGTAAAAATAGACCTTGTTTTATAAAAAACAAAATGGGAGAAGACAGTCTAGAGGTCTTCTCAGATCAACAACCCTGATTTTTAGACTCTCAAAAGAGGCAAGATATCAGAGTTGTATTTAGATATTATTTATAAGAAGAAAGATACAAGAATTGAAAATAGATCATCAAATCCAATACAAGATATTTTAAACAAACTATTAACAAAATTTTAGAAATGAAGGCTCTAGAGATATCTAAATTTTTATTATGTGTAGAAGAACAACCAAAGTCGCCCCAAAAGTTGCTTTTCTATTTCACTATAGAAATAGCCAGGTATATTAGAAATGGCTTAAGTTTGCTGTAAAAGAGGATTTGTAAAAGAAAATGTATCAGGAGTAAAATATGCAAATAAACTGGAAACATTATCATGCTAAGAAATAGATTCTTATTTAGCCTTGCTGCCTCTGGAGGAGCTGTATGATTATATGTTACATGATAAGTTAGTTTAAAATAATAACAGGCAATTAAAAAAACTTTTAATATTTTTGGAGCTATTCAATCACCAACATTTATTTGTGGATTCTCCTGTGAAGACAGACTTGCCCTTTTTAGTGCTCTGTGGGAAGAAACCGAAAAGAAAAAAAAGACAAAGTAGCTCTCAGTCTACAGGAACTGCAGTCTAACTGGATAACAAATCTATGCATTGAAATGCATTCAGTGCCCTTACAAATAAGGACAAAGGCTGAAGCAAATTAAGACAATGGGGATGGAATAAGAAAATGCTTATTAGGGCCGGGCGCGGTGGCTCACGCCTGTAATCCCAGCACTTTGGGAGGCCGAGACGGGCGGATCACGAGGTCAGGAGATCGAGACCATCCTGGCTAACACGGTGAAACCCCGTCTCTACTAAAAATACAAAAATTAGCCGGGCATGGTGGCGCGTGCCTGTAGTCCCAGCTACACGGAAGGCTGAGGCAGGAGAATGGCGTGAACCCGGGAGGCGGAGCTTGCAGTGAGTCGAGATCGCGCCACTGCACTCCAGCCTGGGCGACAGAGCAAAACTCCGTCTCAAAAAAAAAAAAAAAAAAAAAAAAAGAAAAGAAAATGCTTATTAGAAACAGACCAACTGTTGAGTAAGAACAGGTTAGTTTGGGTGAGATTAAGGACAAGATTAATGATAAATTTAGCTATCAAACTCATTTGCTTCTTTCTGTATTTTTGACCTAGACTCATTAAACAATAAAATAATGAATTGCTTTTTATTTCAATACATAGCTCATAGAAAACTTTAGATTCTAGCTGATTCAGTTACATTATTGAATATCAATTCTTATAAAAATGAATAGATGATGACAAGGTTTCTTTAAAGGGTGTTTATTTATTTATTCTGTTATAGATTCAGGGGGTACAAGTGTAGATTTGTTACATGGATATAATGCATAATGGTGAAGTTTGGGCTTCTGCTGTACTGATCACTCAAATAGCGAACATTGGACCAAATAGGTAATTTGTCATCCCTCACTCCCTTCCTTTCCTTTCACCTTTTAGATTCTCAAATGTCTTTTATTCTACTCTGTATGTCCATATTTACCTATTATTTATCTCACACTTAGAAGTGAGAACATGCAGTGTTTGACTTTCTGTTTCTGAGTTATTTCACTTAGTATAATGGAACTGAAGGCAGTTCCATCCATGTTGCTGCAAAAGACACATTTTATTCTTTTTTATGGCAGATTACTAGTCCATTTTATATATACACACACACACACACACACACACACACACCACTTTTTTTCCTATTATCCTTTGATAAACATCTGAGTGCAGGTGTCTTTTATATAGTGATTTCTTTTCCTTTGGATATATGTAAGCAGTAGTGAGATTACTGGGTCAAATGACAGTTCCACTTTTAGCTCTTTGAGAAATTTCCATATTGTCTTTCCATAGAGGTTGTACCAATTTAGATTCCCACCAAAAGTGTACAGGTGTTCTATAGCCTCCTCATCCTTGCCAATATCTGTTTTTGTTTTTTGGGGGGTTTTTTGTTTGTTTTTTACTTTTTAATAGTAGCCATTCTAACTTGTATAAGGTGGTGTCTAATTGTGTTTTTAATTTGTATTATTCAGATGATTAGTGATGTTGAGCATTTTTTCATGTTTGTGGGCCACTTATTTGTCTTTTGAGAATTTCTGTTCATGTTCTTTTTCCACTTTTTAATGAGATTATTTATTTTTCTCATTGGGTTGTTTGAGTTTCTTGTACATTCTGGATGTTAGTCTTGTGTTAGATGTGTAGCTTGCAAATATTTTCTCCCATTATGTAGGCGTTTGGGTTTATTCTCTTGATTATTTCTTTTGCTGGGGAGAAACTTCTTTTTAATTAAGTCCCATTTGTCTACATTTCTTCTTGTTGCATTTGCTTTTGAGGTCTTAGTCATTAATTATTTACTTAGGCCGAGTTCCAGAAGAGTATTTCCTAGATTTTCTTCGAGAATTTTTATAGCTTGAGGTCTTATATTTAAGTGTTTAACACACATTGAGTAAACTTTTTACATGGTGAGAGATAGGAGTCCAGTTTCATTCTTTCACATATTGTAATTGAATTTTCCCAGCACCATTTATTAAATGGAATGTCTTTTCCCCCATTGTTTATTTTTGCCAACTTGGTTAAAGATCTGTTGCTTGTAAGTATGTGACTTTCTTTATGGGTTCTCTATTCCATTTCATTGGTCATTGTGTCTATTTTTATACCAGTCCCATGCTGTTTTGGTTATATAGAATTGTATTACAATTTGAAGTCAGGTAATAAGATGCCTCCAGTTTTGTTCTCTTTGCTTAGGATTGTTTTGGCTGTTTGGGCTTCTTTTCGAGTGCACACAAATTTTAGAACTGATTTTTTTTTCATTCCAAGAAAATTGCATTGGCAATTTGATAGGAATTATGTTGAATATAAATTGCTTCAGGCTATATGGTCATTTTAATGATATTGTTTCTTTCAATCTCTAAGCATTGAATGTTTTCCATTTGTTTGTGTCATTTATGAATCCTTTCATCAATGTTTTGTAGCTCTCCTTGTAGAGATCTTTTACCTCCTTGTTTAAATGTATTCCTGAGTATTTTATTATCTGGGGGGCTATTGTAAATGGGATTGAGCTCTTGATTTGGTTCTTAGCTTGAATGTTATTCGTGTATAGAAATGCTATTGATTTTTTACATCAATTTTGTGTTCTGAATATTTACTGAAGTAATTATCAAGTCTAACAGTCTTTGGAAGGGATCTTCAGGGTTTTCTGGGCAAAAGAACATGTCATCTGTGAACAGAGATAATTTAACTTTGTCTTCACAATTTGGATGCTTTTTATTTCTTTCTCTTGCTTGATTGCCCTGGCTACAGCATCCAATACTGTGGTGAATAGAAATCATGAGAGTGACCATACTTGTCTTGTTCCAATACTTAACAGAAATGCTTTCAACTTTCTCTATTCAGTAGGATTTTTTACTGTGAGTTTGTCATAGACAGCTTTTATTATTTTGACATATGTTTCTCTGATGCTTAGTTTGTAGAGAGTTTTTATCTTAAAGAAATACTGAATTTATTGAATGATTTTTTAATCTATTGAGATGATCATATAGTTTTCATGTTTAGTATTTTTAGGTGATGAATCATATTTATTCATTTGCATATGTTGAACCATCCTTGCATCCCTTGAATAAAACCCACTTGATTATAATGTATTAGCTCATTGATGTGCTATTGAATTTAATTGGCTATTACTTTGTTGAAGAATGTTATATCTATGTTCGTCAGGGATATTACCCTGAAGTTTTTTATCTTCTTATTTTGTCTTTACCATTATCAGGGTGATACTGGTTTCATAGAATAAGTTAGAGAGGAATCCCACTTCCTCAATTTTTTAGAATAGTCAGTAAGATTGGTAACCCTTCTTTATATGTCTGGTAAAACTGAGCTGTGAATTTGTCCGGTCCTTGTTTTTTTTTTTTTTTCCTTAGGGGATTTTTAATTACTGATTAAATTTTATTACTTGTTATTGGTTTGTTCAAGATTTCCACTTCTTCCTCGCTCAATTTTGGGAAGTTGTGTTTCCAGCACTTTATCCATTCCTCACAGTTTTCTAGGTTGTGCACATAGAGATGTTCATGGTAGTTTCTGAGGGTCTATTTTTGTTTATATGGTACCAATTGCAATGTAACCTTTATTGTTTCTGATTATGCTTATTTGAAGCTTCTATTTTTTTGCTTGTTTAAACTTCCTAGTGACTATCAACTTTGTTTATCCTTTCAAACAACCAACTTTTCTTTTCATTGATCCTTTTTATCACTTTTTGCCCCAATCTTATTGAGCTTTGCTCTGACCTTTGTTATTTCTTTTCTTCTGTTAGCTTTCGGTTCAGTTTAGTCTTATGTTTTTAGTTCCTTGAGTTGTGATGTTAGGTTGTTAATTTAATACATTTCTATCTTTCTGATATAGACATTTAAGGCTATAAACTTTTCTCTTGGCACTGTTTTTTTCTGTATCCCAGGAGTTTTGGTATGTTGTGTCTCTGTTTTCATTTATTTAAAATAAATTAAATTTCTACCTTAATTTCATTGTTTACCCAAAGATCATTCAGGAGCTAGTTGTTTAGTTTCCATGTACTTCTGTCATTCTGAGAGTTCTTCTTAGTAGTAACTTCTAATTTTATTCCAGTGTGGAACAAGAAGATACTTGATATGATTCTGATTTTTTACATTTATTGAGACATGCTGTATGACCAACCATATGGTCAATTTTGGAGAATGTTCCATGTGCGGATTAAAAAAACAACAACAACACTTATATTCTGCAGTTGTTGGGTTAAATGTTCTGTAAATATCTATTAAGTCCATTTAGCTAGAGTCTACTTTAAGTCCAAATTTTCTTTGTTGATTTTCTGCCTCAATGATCTATCCAGTGTTGTCAATGAGGTGATGACCTCCCTCAACATTATTGCATTGCTGTCTCTCTGGTTTCTTAGGTCTAATAGTATTTGTTTTATGTCTTGGTGTTTTGGTGTTAGGTGCATATATACTTAGGATAGTTAAAAGTTTTTGTTGAAGTGAACTCTTTATAATTGTATAATGTAGTTGTCTTTTTTTATAACTGCTGTTGATTTAAATTCTGTTTTATATGATATAACGATGGCTACTCCTGCTTATTTTTATTTTCCTTTTGAGTCATAAAGCTTTTTCTACCCCTTTACTGTGAGTCTATAGTTGTTGTTACCCATTAGATGAGTAGCTTGTAGGTAGCAGGTGGTTGTGTTTTATTTATTTTTTTAACCTAATTTGTCAGTCTATTTTGTACATGAAGCATTTAGGCCATTTGCATTTAAGGTTAATATTGATACATCAACTTCCGTTCCTGTCATAGTGTTCTTAGCTAGTTTCCTTACAGTCTCAATTGTTTAATTGCTTCATAGAATCATATATATTTACATATGCTTTCATGATGATGAATATCATTTTTTCATTTCTATGTTTAAAAGTCCTTTGAGCATTTCTTGTAGGACCAGTCTAGTGGTAATAAATTCTCTTAGAATTTGCTTGTCTGGGAAATAATTTGTTTTCCTTTATTTATAAAGCTTAGTTTTGCAGGTTACAAAACTCTTAGCTGGCAATTATTTTCTTAAGAATACTAAAAGTAGGATCCTAGTAACTTTGACCTTTAAGGTTTCTTCTGAGAGGTCCACCGTCTGATGATATTTTCTTCATGGGTGATTTGATGCTTCCCTCTAGCTGCTTTTAGGTTTTGTTTTTTTTATTTTCTTTTCTTACACTTTGACCTTGAATAGTTTGATGGCTATATTCTCTGGTGATATTCATCTAGTATAGCACCTTCAAGGTGTTCTTCAAATTTCTTGTATCCAGATGTTTATATCTCCAGTAAAATCAGGGACATTTCCTGAATTATTATTTCAAATATGTTTTTCAAGCTTTTAAAATTTTTTCCTCCTTCAGGAATGCTGATAAGTCATAAATTTGATTGCTTTACATAATCTCATGTTCCTCAAAATCTTTGTCCATTTTAAAATTTCTTTTTTCTTTTTTTTGTCTGACTGGGTTAATTCAAAAGACCATTCTTCAAGCTCTGAAATGCTCTCTTTTGTTTCATCTAGGCTATTTTTAAAGCTTTCAACTGTATTTTGAAATTCCTTCAGTAAATTTTTCATTTCCAGAAGTTCTGTTTTTTATTTTAAGATCTCTGTCTTTTCTTAATTTTCTCAGTTACTTTTCTGATTTCCTTATGTTGGTTTTGAACCTTCTCTTGGATCTCATTAAGTTTCCTTACAATATATACTTTGAATTCTTTATCATTTAAGAATCTTCATTTTGGTTAAAGTCTATTGCTAGACAGCTACTGTAATCTTTCAGTAATACCTCACTACATTCAGTGTTCTTATCCTGGTTTCTTCTCATCTGGAGGAACGGCCACTTCTTGTTTTTGAATTCACTGTCATTTGGATAGAAATTCCCCCCACGCCCCCGGAGGGTGTGACTGTGGAGCACATTGGGTAGGGTCTTTCAGCTTTGCTTCTATAGCCCTGTGAACATTATGTTGGCAGATTATATATATTGGGTTGTGCAGTTCAACATTCAGGCCAGTAGGTGGTGCTTATGGGTAAAAGCCAGCTCTGGCAAAGGCAGATAAGTATGTACTTTTGTTTACTGTGAAGTGTTCTCTGTTGTTTCAAGTGATGGGCTAGATAACAAAATGCCTGGCACTCTGAGTTTTCTGTTCAGCTAGGAAAGGTGGGAGACCGGGGCAGAGGTGGACCACCTGGCTCACCCATGAATACACCAGTGATGAGCACAGTAACCATCTCTGATAGGGATGGCTGGGGGAGCTCCTGGTAAAATATACCAAAGTCTTTGTGGGAGGTAAGAGAGGCAGCTGCATCAGCTCCACATCCCAGAAAGGCAGGAATGCACTCTGTTTTCCTATCACATCTGTGTCCCATGGCTTGTGACTCTCAGTTCAGACATACAATGTTGTCTGTCACCAGGTCACAGTGTAGTTGAGAGACATGGAAACCATCTGTTCTGTGGTTCTCCATGGGAATGGCTTCAGTGTGGAACCTCTTTACCAAGCCCAATATGGACAGCTTTATAACTTGCCTGTTCTGATGCTGCTGCTTCATGTACAGAGGGGCAGGGGCTCCATCCTTCAGTATATGTGTGGGTGTCAGATGTGGTGTTGGCTGATTGTGTTGGCTTGACCTCAGATCCCAGGGGAGGAGACAAGGTGCCAGTTGTGGTGGACTGGGCTAGGCAATCCCCTACTCCACAGGCCCCTAGGTAGCCCACTGGTTGTTGTGTACAAGTCTTGTTGAAACTGGACTGAGACCAGGACAGCAGACTTATTCTCAGGTCCCTCAAATTCAGGTGCTAACTGCAATAGGGAGGGGTGGGCTAGTCCCCTGGTCACCAGCAGAACTCCAAGGTAAGGGCAGGTAGAATGCTCTTGTAGTGTCAGGATGCTCAAGATGTGGGAGCCCCAGGGTACATTGCAGGCCTGTAGGGGCTGGGTTGTCAGGAAGGCTCTGAGTCGCAACCAAAATGATCAGGTAGGAACCTTTCACTGGGGAAGTCAGGGCCTACTTGGTGGGAGCAGTGGCAGTGGAGGCAGACACCTATGGGGCTCATGGCCCACTAGTGCTTTTCTCCCACAGGAGCAGTGGCAGTATCCTTTATCTGGGGACACAGAGGTGCCCAATCTTTCACTCCCTTCCTGTTCTGGAAGTGACTATGGCAGCATTGATGTGGCTGGATCCCAGCATAGAATGCAGGCCTCCAGAGGCTAGGCTTTCAACACGGGGCCAGGCCTTTACCACAGTGATCAGGCAAGGGCAGAGAAGCTACTCTGCAGGTATGTTACTGGGGAGAGTAGGCCCTCTTCAGCAGGAGCAATGGAAGCTAGCAGCTATGGGGCATGCAGCTCACTTGCACTTTTGTGCCACAGAAGTGATGGTGGATTTTGCTGTTGGGGTGTGTCAAGGTGCCCAGTTTCTCTACTCCATCCCTGGCCTGGCAGTGGCAAGGGTGACAGTAATGGTGGAAGCAATAAATGCTGTGGTACCTGAAGGGTAGATCATGATCCTCTAGGGGCTGGGCTCTCAGAAGAATGCTGAGCCACAGCCACAATGCTCAGATGGTAGCACAGCAGCTGCGCTGAGGATTTGATAACAGGGAAGGCAGCCCCCACTTAGCAGGGAGCAGCAGAAGCAGGCAGTCATGGGGTGCACAGTCTTCACACTCTTTCGTCCCACAGCAGTGACAGAAGTGACTGGCTTTGGGGTGTGCAAAAATGCCTGACCTCTCTGCTCCCTCCCTGGCACAACAGTGGCAGCTGGCACCTACTTGCAGCTGCTTAGGGATCAAAAGCCTGCGTGACTCCATGTGGGTTTGAGTAGTTCCTTTGCAAAGTCTCCAAGCAGCTCTCTGTGTTATTCTGAATGGTGAAGGTAAGGGTCGAGACGGCTCCCCTATGGCTAAGATTGTAAAAGTCCATGATGGAAGGGTGAGACCCTGTGGGTCTCTCACTCACTCATTCCTTCACTGTGACAGGGAGGCTCTCCTGGCTCCACGCTAGACCCAGCTCAGCAGGCTGCCTTACTTCACTCTTCTCTGCTTTCCCTGATTCCTGTCACTTCTCTGATGAATTCCAAAGTGCTCTTTTCAATGGTCTACTCAAATGTTAATATTTACTTGCTATTTTGATTGTTCTTCATGAGAGAAGTGCCCACTAACTGCTTCTAGTCAGCCGTTTGAACCACACCTCATGAATTGCGTAATACCTTTAGAGTATACATAATCTAGTCCAAACTTAGAAGTGTAAGTACACTTTTTTTTTCTTTCTTTCTTTCTTTTTTTTTTTTTGAGATGGAATCTACTAGCTCTTGTCACCCAGGCTGGAGTGCAATGGCGCCATTTCGGTTCACTGCAACCTCCTTCTCCCGGGTTCAAGCAATTGTCCTGCCTCAGCCTGCTGAGTTGCTGGGATTACAGGTGCAAGCCACCACGCCCAGCTAATTTTTTGTATTTTTAGTAGAGATGGGGTTTCACCATGTTGGCCAGGCTGGTCTCAAACTCTTGACCTCAGGTGATCCACCCACCTCGGCCTCCCAAAGTGCTAGGATTACAGGCGTGAGCCACAGCGCCCAGCCTAAGTACTTATACCAAGTCATTGCACACCTTAACTGCTCTCTTGAGTCCTGGTGACAGCCAACATTTGCAATTTCCTGAGAATAAGTCAATTCTTATAATTATATGACTTCAGTCATGCCATTGCTGTTCTATGAAATGTTCTCCAGAATTTGAAGCAAGAAAAAATTGAGCAGACTCTAGTACTGATTCTGGTTAAAGAGAATCAGAGGCCTCAACTACATAAGAAATGACAGGAATAGACAGAACTACATAAGAAATAACAGGAATGGACAGCAGATATAAGGAAGGAAACAAAGGGAAAATAAAGAGTCTTGGAAATTAATTGTGTAAGAGCAATAAAAATGACTTGAATGACTAGGTTAGTGATTTTACCATTAAAAGAGATTAGAAGCATAAGAAATATGATACATTTCAGAAATAATAATGAGATAAGTTCTGCCCATCTTTCTTGAAATGTGTATGGTAAACTCATATGGAGGCATGCAGTGGGTGGCAGAATATACAAATATGACACAAAGCAAATAAAGTCAAATTTAAAATCTAGACTTGTGAGACATTTTTATAACGATACTAACCAAGACTTTTTAAGTGAATCAAGTCACTTTTCACACTTTATATTTGTACATGTTCATATTTATGCCTACCTCATTAGTTTATGAGCTACCTAAGGATGAGAATAACTCACGTTAATATTTGATTTTTTTCATATTTGCATGATGCCTGGCTCATGGCAGACTTTTAAATTATATGGCCTGAAAGTTACCTTTCTAGAATTTATTTAAGATAATATCAGGTTAGATTCAATGATAAGCATGGGCCATATAGAATGTGTCAGGTGCCTTATCAAAAGATAAAAGTACATTTCTCTCATATATTATCAGAATTTCTATAAAAATGAATAATGTGGGCATCTTTGTGTAATACACTCACTCATTCTTTCTTTATCAGTTTAACCACTTTGAATAAATACTTGCAAGGCACTGTGTCAGGAAAAAAACTTTAAATTAAACAATTTAAAACTACCCAAGTGTATGGGAGGTCCCAGTATTTATAAAATTTCAGATGATGGCCAAAAGTACCTAAATAATCTATTTTCCAGTAATCTTTTTGCTACTTATAAGATAGAAACAATATTTTAATCATTTCACATTATACCTTCCATTCTTCATCTCCCCTACATAGCTTTTATAAGTGTTCAAAATTTGAAAAAATGGACGAATACACTCATTTAAAGAATGGTGGCCTGAAAATTAGAAAATCTTCCCTAACAAGCAAAGAAATATTACATGGCTCTTTTAGCCTATGGGTCCCTGAATTTCTTCTCTGTGAAATGAATGTGGATTAGCAAATCCCAATTACTTTCAGATCTAAAATACCTAGATTTTGCTTTTTGTATGAAAGTTGAATTTCACTACTTAAAAACTAAAAATGCAAAGGAGGTCGGGGGCGGTGCCTCATGCCTGTAATCTCAGCATTTTGGGAGGCTGAGGTGGGTGGATCACTCGAGGTCAGGAGTTTGAGACCAGCCTGGCCAACATGGTGAAACCCCTTCTCTACTAAAAATACAAAAATTAGCCAGGTGTGATGGCACGCATTTGTAGTCCTAGTCCCAGCTACTTGGGAGGCTGAGGCAGGAGAATCACTTGAACCCAGGAGGCAGAGGTTGCAGTGAGGTGAGATAACCCCACTGCACCCCAACCTAGGCCACAGAGTGAGACACGATCACAAAATAAATAAATGAATACATAAACAAATAAATAAGAAAATGAAATATTTGCTCTAATGTTTGGTTTTCTTCTTTTCTTTTCCACCTAGATAGAGATGATATCCTACTCATATTTGCTCTGAAGCAACTAATACAATGCTTCATACATGGTAGGTACAGAATGTATATTTGATAAATAAATAATTTTTGCAAATAAAAAGTAAATTAATTCAGAACACAAAATGTATACTGTGAGTTCAACTTTATAGGTACATTGCATGGCATTTCTTGAACATTTATTTACTGAGGACATATTTTATTGTGGGCATTGTTTTCTACACTGAGGATGTAATACAGAAATGATCAACACAAAATTCTTGCTTACATAAATTTATACTGTATTGGAAGGGAGAGAAAAACATCAAAGAGGCAAAAAAAATAAATGAAAAGAAAATTTGAGACAATGACAAATAATGAGAGAAATTCAACAAAGTATTTAAAGAGTGCCCTTAAACTCACTTCTTGTCTATTACATCCAATTACACCCATCGTTTCCATGCCTTGGCTCATTTGATATTTAGAAAAATTGGTTGATGACCTTTTTTTTACCTTCTTAGTAGTAAAAAAATTACAAATAGAAAATGATAAAGTTTGGCTCTGTGTCCCAACCCAAATCTCACTTTGAATTTTAATAACCCCTGTGTGTTATGGGGGCGACCCTGTGGGAGGTAATTGAATCATGGGGGGGCAGGTTTTTCTCATGCTGTTCTCATGATAGTGAATGAGTCTCACAAGATCTAATAGTTTTATAAAGGGCAGTTCCCCTACACATGCTGTCTTGCCTGCTGCCATGTAAGACGTCCCTTTGCTCTTCCTTAGTCTCTGCCATGATTGTGAAGCTTCTCCAGCCATGTGAAACTATGAGTCCATTAAACCTCTTTTGCTTTATAAATTACCCAATCTCAAGTATGTCTTTATTAGCAGCATGAGAACAGACTAATACAGTAAGTAACTTTGTAATCCTGTATAAAGAATATACTAAATTCTAAATTACAAGAGCAAAACTTGAGTTTTAGTATTGCAAAGTCATGCAGTCTACCCACCAAAATATTATCCAAAGGTTAATAAAGAAAACTAGATGCAATAATCAAGTAGGTAATGGAATGTCATTAGCCAAGTGGAAACCCCTGGGGGAAATGAACATTGTCCTTATTGTGTTATCATTATTGATATAGGGATCTTTTCCCCTGATATATAAATTTTCTGGAAGATACTTCTGCCCATGGTCCTTGGGAATATTTCCATTTTCCCATATTTATAAGGTTGCGTCAACATTCTTCATGTTTCTCCTCTACTTGTAAATCTATCATTATACCCCTCACCCTGCAAAAGCCTATTTCACTTGATTTGGGTTTCATTAGTCAGCAATAGAGCAAAGGGTGAAAATTAGGTCTTGTAAGATCCAGCTGTCAGAAAAATCAGCCAGCTGTGATTCATTAATAGAAGAGAATACATCTGATTGTGCAGTGCAAAACCCAGTTGCTGTTGTTTAATACGATTCTGTCAGCAAAACCTTCTCAGCTGACAATATTTTTGGAACAGCCATCTGTTTTCGAGGATTACAAATACTTTATCAAAATATTTATGACATGTTTTCTCTGAAAGATGATATCTTATCCCTTTCAATAGATTAATGCCTTGAGGGTAACTGCAAAGCTAAGTAGAGAGGAAAAACTTAACTTTAATATTTATCTTAGTCAAAAGCAAATCCATGCCCATTTCTTTCTACTGTCATAAGGTTATTAAATTAATATCAACTGAAGTTGGTTTTACTTTTATTCACAGATTTAAAGCCAGGTTGAATTAAGAGATAGCTTATATATAAAATTCTAATTTGAAGTTCAATTACTTCCTTCCTTTATCAACTGTATGTGCTTATAAAAAATATCTAAAGTAATGAGCATAATTCTAAATGGAAACTTGGAAATTAGAAGATATGTTTTTAAATTTTCTGGATAATTATTAGTATCCTTATAAATTGAATGATTTTTTGTTTTTTATAGAAAGTTATATAAAATACATTAATCTTTTTAAAAAAGTTTCTAATATAGTTTAGGAAAAAGCTGCCTTGATCTAAAATTTTATTTCATTTTGGTTTGTTTTGGACTTGAAAAACTATTTTTTAATAATTATTTTGGTAATTATAATAAAAAATGAACAGTACACTGTAGATTTTCTCATCATCTTAGGAAAAGTGAACTTCTAAATATACTAATACATTTCAATGTGCTTTGTCTCAATAAATAGCTTTTTTCAGAACTTGGGTGGAGGTTTTAATATTTCATTTATGTATAGCATATATGTAGAAAAAAAAATCTGAATTTCTTTGGGTTGATTTTTCCCTAATATATATTATTTTATTTTGAGAACAGAACACAGAATAAGAAGCAATGCCATTCATTGTGAGTCAGATTTGGCTTTAAATAATTAAGTGATTTATTATTTAGATCCTTGTAGTTTTTATTCATTCATTTATTTATTTGTTTATTTGTTCATTATTTTCCCCATACTTTAGCCCTGAAAAATGTAATGATTTTTCTACTTCTATAAAATCACTTTGAGGATCAAAGTAATTAGTCTTTTTTTTATTGTAAAATGGAGTATCACTTAAGCCTACGTGTCATGAATAAACATATTGAGAGTTATCCTGCGGCCAACATTATATAAAAATTTGCAATTTGCTAAGAAAATGCTGTATTCTGCAAGAAATCAATATTATTGAGTTTAGGTAGCTTACAGTCTAGTGATAAAGGCTGGCATGGATAATTAGAGATAGCATAAATTGAGTTTTGGATTAGGATATACCTGGTTTGAAAGCCAGCCCTTCTATGTATTGTATCGTGGTTTGAAATTATGTTCCTAAATCTTCTGAAATTTAGTACTACCTATGGATAACTAGCATCAAATTAGCATCAACTGTAAAGTGTTAATGCTAGGATTCAATGAGAAAATGGAGATCACCTGTGTATAAAGAAACCCATACAGTAATTGTCACCTAGAAATCCAATCAACGTGACTTCCTCATCCTCACAGAGCAAGTCAAATGTGCTAAGTGTTACCAAGGAGTTGCAGACAAAGAGATATTGAAGCATAGAGTGAGAAGAGGTTAATTAAATTATAGAAATATAGAAAATTATAATTTGAACTAAATTAACATTAAATGCACATATAATGCTGAAAACACGAGCAGAGGTGGATTTATATGCAATTCTTCTCCAATTTTGTTTGACCTCAATAAAAGTCTGATTCCATTCTGTTGTATTCAAAAGTGCTACTACTATATGCTTAAGAGTATCCCACTTTTAGAGAAAAAAGAGGGCCTACTAAGAAAATGGAATTTAAACCCAGTAGGAAT
Source organism: Homo sapiens (assembly GCF_000001405.40). NCBI lineage: Eukaryota > Metazoa > Chordata > Mammalia > Primates > Hominidae > Homo > Homo sapiens. Next base: position 37,954,046 of record NC_000011.10, read on the forward strand.
GAATGCAATTGAGTTGAAATGATAATTGAGCTGAGTATTATTCCATGTGATTGAAGTTGAATTCACTATAATGTACTGTGAGCTGTGCTTTCCTGGGACATTACAATGGCTGGCTAATTTAGTCCAAAAAAAGAAAAAGAAAAAGAAAGAGAAATTAAATTGGTGTTTTTTCATCTAAAATAAGCAAGAATTTTGAGAAATGTGTTTATAAAATGAATATGGTGTAATATATATGCAGGAAAAGAGAAAGAAAAGGCCTTTGTCAGCTGATAATTAAAACACAAACAAAAACATAAGCTTAATATAAGTTCAAGTGTATAATATATAAAAATGTACTCTAAATAATCAGATTATTACCATCAAGGCATATGTTTATTGATTCTCTTTCTTCATTCCCTCTTCAAGGTTCCCTCTTGTGATGTTCATCTTAAGCTGACTTTTTCCAGATACGAATGTTGTGGGTGGCAGCAGAAAAACCCAGCACCTGGGCTCACATAGTGCTTATGCCCAGTCTCAATCTTGATGCACATGCACCCCGTGTATACTTCCCCTGTCTGTCTAATATCACTGAGTTTCCTTATAACTTCAGTTCTTAAAAGCTTCATCACCATAACATCAGGAGACATTTGCTTTAGTGTCAATTCTTGGTTGTGCCATATATAGTCACTGGAAACACAAGTGATCACACAGAAAAAAAAAGATTTCTAAATTAATAAATGAGAAAAGATAATCAGTAGCTTAGCATCAGTCAAAGTCGCTTTGTGAATGTCATGCATTCCTTATGAAATTTGTGACAGACACATTAGGGTTGTTGGGATTAGACAAGGAAACCTATTTCTTAGCTATTAGGAGAAGCTGATTTAAGTTTTCTTCTACTGATCTTCAGCAATTCCTGAAAGGTACAGGTACAAGTAAGAATCTGAGATTCTATGAATATCATAGGGGAGAGATTATTAACATTTCTGGGAAATGATGACATTGTATTTCTTAATATAATTTTTTTTTTTTTGAGATGGAGTCTCCTCTGTCGCCCAGGCTGGAGTGCAGTGGCACGATCTCGGCTCACTGCAAGCTCCGCCTCCTGGGTTCACGCCATTCTCCTGCCTCAGCCTCCCAAGTAGCTGGGATTACAGGCACCCACCACCACACCCGGCTAATTTTTTGTATTTTTAGTAGAGACGGGATTTCACTGTGTTAGCCAGGATGGTCTCGATCTCCTGACCTCATGATCCGCCTGCCTCGGCCCCCCAAAGTGCTGGGATTACAGGCGTGAGCCACTGTGCCCGGCCATAACATTTATTTTTTATACCCATTAAATTAATACTGTAGATAACGTAAAACTATAAAACATTTTAAAAAGTTGCCCATCAATTCAACACTTAAAAGAAAAAAAAAAAACTAGTAATATTCCCTTTCAGTTTTTTTCCATGCACACACTCACACACAAACACATGCATCTAATCAAGCACATACGTCTAGGTACACATTTATTTCTACACCCATACAAACATTATTTATACTAGATAGGTCATTCAGTATCTACAAATTTGTATCTTTTCATTCAGTGTATTATGACCTTTTTTAAATAAATGTGAAAATAATAATTTCAATTAGTTAATCTGACAACTAATTTTTTAGTGATTATGTGCCAGGTAATTTTGTAGATGGATGAATTTTATCAGTGAAACTTGGATGGAACTAGAGGCCATTATTCCAAGTGAAGCAACTCAAGAATGGAAAACCAGATGCCATATTTTCTCACAAATAGGAGCTCAGCTATGAGGATATAAACACACATAAAGTGTTATAATAGATTTTGGGGACTCGGTGGAGGTGGGGAATTTGGGGCGGTTGATGGAAAAAATACTACCTATTGGGTAGCGTACACTGCTTGGGAGATGGGTGCACTAAAATCTCAGAATTCACCACTAAACGACTTACCCATGTAACTAAAAACCACCCATACCCCAAAAACTACTGAAAATTTTAAAAATTTTAAAAATCATGACAACACTACTCACAAAAGAAGAGGATAAAGATCCTTGCTCTCATAGAGCTTGTTTTTTTGGAGGCAGAAGATAGGCAATAAATACTTTTAAAAAGTAAAGAATTCAATTACATAGTATAGTAAAAAGATGATGAGTGCCATGGATTATATTAAGGAAAAAATATGATATAAATAATTAGTGAATAGGATAGAGAGGTTGTATTTTTTTTATTTTATTTATTTATTTATTTATTTATTTATTTATTTATTTATTTATGACAGAGTCTTGCTGTGTCGCCTAGGCTGGAGTGCAGTGGTACGATCCCAGCTCACTGCAACGTCCGTCTCCTGTGTTCAAGTGAGAGGTTGTATTTTAAGCAGCCTTGCAGGGCTGTCCTCATTGAGAAGGTGAGATTTGACAGATTTGATGGAGGTAAAAAAGTTAGTGCTGAGGATATCAGAGAAAGGTGAAAGAAAATTTCAGGCAGAGAGAAAAACCAGTGCCTGAACCCTAAGCCTGGTGTGTTCTAGGAGAGAAATGGAGGCCCTGATGACTGGAGAGAAAGAGAAAAGAGTAGAATCTGGGAATGTCAGGTAGGATGCCCTGTATTATCTCATCAAGACTCGGCTGTTAAGTAAATTGCAGTGGCTCATCCCTTTGCTCCCAGCATTTTGGGAGGCCAAGGAGAGCGGATCACTTGAGGTCAGGAGTTTGAGACCAGCCTGGGCAACATGGCAAAACTCCATCTCTACAGAAAATACAAAAAATTAATCGGGTGTGGTGGTGCATGCCTGTGATCCCAGCTACGCCAGAGGTGGAGGTGGAAGGATCTCTTGAGCCTGGGTGGTCCAGGCTGCAGTGAGCAGAGATCCCATGCCACTGCACTTCAGCCAGCGTGACAGAGTGAGACACTTGTCTCAAAAAAAAAAAAAAAAAAATTCAGTGCAGGGCTTTCTATGTGGGTGACCAATGTAGTCATAAAAGGACACCCAGCATTTAGGATGTAATGCTCTATGGTTACATTTTATCTTTGAATTGTGTTTTGAAAGTGATGTCCAATGGGACAATGGCAGATGCTCCAGGGTACTGGCGTCAGGAGTTTTAGCTCACTCATAATCCCATCTCCTATCTCCTTTCTACGTCTTCAGGATGGTAGAAGCCCTTCCCACTCCAGGCCTTGCTCAATCTTACTTTCTTTTTTGAGATGGAGTCTCACAGTGTCCCCCAGGATGGAGTGCAATGGGGCGATCTTGGCTCACTGCAAGCTCCACTTCCCGGGTTCACGCCATTCTCCTGCCTCAGCCTTCCAAGTAGCTGGGACTACAGGCGCCCGCCGCCACCACGCCCAGCTAATTTTTTTGTTCGGCAGGCAGATCACGAGGTCAGGAATCTAGACCATCCTGGCTAACACAGTGAAACCCTGTCTCTACTAAAAATACTCAATCTTACTTTCTAGCCCCTATCACTCCAGACCTTACTCAATCTCTCCAACTGGAGACTGATGCTAACTTTTGCTGGAGTAGCAACCTGGTAATATGGGGATTCCAGCACTCTTCTGTCTTCCTATGGCCCCAGTGGGGTGAGGCAAACACCCCACACTGTCTCAAGGCTGCAACTTTCCCTCTCTGGGCTGACAGCACTAGGTGGCAGGTGACTAGATGAGGACCTCTAACTCTACTTTCTACTACTTCCAGGTACATAGAATGTCCAGATAAAGTGATTGAAATTTCTCTGGCATTGTATTTTAGTCCATTTTCACACTGCTGATAAAGACCTACCCTAGACTGGAAAATTCATACAGGAAAAAGGGTCTAATGGACTTAAGTTCCACATGGCTGGAGAGGCCTCACAATCATGGTGGAAGGCAAAAAGGAGCAAGTCATGTCTTACATGGATGGCAGCAGGCAAAGAGAGAGAAAGTTTTTCCAGGTGAACTCCTTTATTTAAAACCATCAGACCTCATGGGACTTATTCAGTATTTCGAAAACAGCATGAGAAAGACCCACCCTCATGATCCATTTACTCCCACTGGGTACCTCCCACAACACATGGGAATTGTGAGAATTAAAATTCAAGATGAGATTTGGGTGGAGACACAGACAAACCATATCATTCCACCCCTGGCTCCTCCCAAATCTCATGTCCTCACATTTCAAGACCAATCATGCCTTCCCAACAGTTCCCCAAAGTCTTAACTCATTTCAACATTAACTCAAAAGTCCACCGTCCAAAGTCTCATCTGAGACAAGGCAAGTCCCTTCTACCTATAAGCCTGTAAAATCAAAATCAGGTTAGTTATTTCCTAGATACAATGGGGATACAGGCATTGGGTAAATACAGCCATTCCAAATGAGATAAATTGGCCAAAACACAGGGGCTATAGGCCCCATGCAAGTGCAAAATCCAGCAGAGCAGTCAAATACTAAAGCTCCAGAATCATGTCCTTTGACTCCATGTCTCACTTCTAGCTCACCTGATGCAAAAGGTGGGTCCCCATGGCCTTGGGCAGCTCTGTCCCTGTGGCTTTGCAGTGTAGAGCCCCCCTCCTGTCTGCTTTCATGGGCCAGCATTCCATGTGTATGGCTTTTCAGACACATGGTGCAAGCTGTCAGTGGATCTACCATTCTGGGGTCTGGAAAATGGTGGCCCTCTTCTCACAGCTCCACTAGGTGGTACTCCAGTAGGGACTCTGTGTGGGGGTTCCAACCCCACATTTCCTTTCTGCACTGCCCTAGCAGAGGTTCTTTGTGAGGGCCCTGCCCCTGCAGCAAACTTCTGCCTGGGCAACTAGGTGTTTTCATACATCGTCTGAAATCTAGGTGGAGGTGCCCAAACCTCAATTATTGACTTCTGTGCACCTGTTAGGTTAAAACCACTTGAAAGCCGCCAAGACTTTGGGCTTGTACCCTCTGAAGCCCAGCCTGAGCTATACCTTTACTCTTTTAGTTAGGGCTGGAGCAGCTAGAACACAGGGCACCAAGTCCCTAGGCTGCACACAGCATGGGGACCCTGGGCCTAGCCCTTGAAGCCATTTTTCTTCCTAGACCTCTGGACCTGTGATGGGAGGGGCTGCTGTGAAGACCTCTGACATGACCTGGAGACATTTTCCCCATTGTCTTGGAGATTAACATTCAGCTCCTTGTTACTTACACAAATTTCTGCATCCAACTTGAATTTCTTCTCAGAAATGGGATTTTCATCTCTATTGCATTGTCAGGCTGCACATTTTCTAAACTTTTGTACTCTGTTTTCCTTTTAAAACTGAATGCCTTTAGCAGCACCCAAGTCACTTCTTGAATGCTTTGCTGGTTAGAAATTTATTTCTCCAGATACCCTAAATCATCTCTCTCAAGTTCAAAATTCCACAAATCTCTTGGGCAGGGCCAAAATGCTGCCAGTCTCTTTACCAAAACATAACAAGAGTCACCTTTGCACCAGTTCCCAACAAGTTCCTCATTTCCATCTGAGACCCTCTCAGCCTGGATGTTATTGTCTATATCACTATCAGCATTTTGGTCAAAGCCATTCAAAAGTCTCTAGGAAGTTCTAAATTTTCCCACATTTTCCTGTCTTCTTCTTAGCCCTCCAAACTATTCCAACCCCTGCCTATTACCCAGTTCCAAAGTCACTTTCATATTTTTGCATATCTACAGCAGCACCCACTCTTGGTACCAATTTACTGTATCAGTCTGTTTTCATGCTGTTGATAAAGACATACCCAAGACTCGGTAATTTATACAGGGGAAAGGGTTTGATGGACTTATAGTTCCACGTGGCTGGGGGGGCCTCACAATCATGGCAGAAAGCAAGGGGAGCAAGTCATGTCTTACATGGATGGCAGCAGGCAAAAAAAGAGTTGGTGCATGGGAACTCCCCTTTAAAACCATCAGATCTCATGAGACTTATTCACTATTGGGAGAACAGCATGAGAAAGACCCACCCCCATGATTCAATTACCTCCTGCTGGGTCCTTCCCACAATAAGTGGGAATTGTGGGAGTTACAATCAAGATGAGATTTGGGTGGAGACACAGCCAAATCATATCAGGTTGCCTGTCTGTTGGGAGTTAGGATGGAGGACCTGTCAGGAGGGGAGATTAAGTTCTCTGCCCACAGTGGAGGACCAGTATTTTTATCTTATGCCAACCACCTCAAATTATAGAGCTAGACTTGGGAGAAGAATATTGAACAGAAGAATAAAATTATGATCCTCAACATTTTAAATAGTTACTTTTTAATATGTTGATAATAAGCTATACAAAGACTGGTAGATGCTAGGAAGGAGAGGCTACCATATTATCCCAGTGGGAGATGAGAGTGTCTCAGGTTAAGCTGGTGCCAGTATAGATGGTGAGGAATGGTACAAACCTACATTTACTGGAAAAGAGATAAAATATGATCACCTGGTACATAGGACATGGAATATAAATGACACGAGTGTCAACAATAGTTCAGGTTTTTGGCCTGAGCTACTGAAATAATTGAGTTACTATAAGCTGATATGGAGAAGGCTGAGGGCAGATCAGGTTTGGGAGTGGAGAGATGAGGAGTTCAATCTTTTTCATGTTTACCATGTTATTATGTGGACAATCAAATTATAGGGTAAATAGTTATATAAACAGGCATGTAGCTAGCTCTGAAGAGGTAGTCTAGGTTGAAGTTGTCAATTTGTAGTTTCAATTTATACAGCTTTAATGCCATGTGTATTAGTCCATTTTCATGCTGCTTATAAATACATACCCAAGATTGGGTAATTTATAAAGGAAAAGAGGTTTAACGGACTCACATTTCCATGTGGCTGGGGAAGCCTCACAATCATGGTGGAAGGTGAAAGCCATGTTTTATATGGTGGCAGCAAGAGAGAATGAGAAAGGGGAAACACCTTATTAAAAACATCAGATCTCATGAAAATTATTCATAACCGTGAGAAAAGTATGAGGGAAATTCCCCCATGATTCAATTATCTCCCAGTAGGTCCATCCCATAACATGTGGGAATTATGGGAGCTACAATTCAAGATGAGATTTGGGTGGGGACACAGCCAAACTATATCACCTTGGTACCCAAGTGAAGTCATTGAAGTGGGGGTGTAGGAAGAGAAGAGAAAAGAACCAAGGACTTATCTCCTTGCTTCCATATTAGGAGTAAACAAGTAGAAGAGTCTAATCTAGCAGTGAACCATTTACATAGACCTTAAGACTGAAAAGGAGTAGCCCATGAAGTAAAAGGAATTCAACAAATGTGCTGTTAATGGAGCCAATGAAAGAAAGTTTAATAAGATGCATAAACTGTGCCAAAAGTTACCAAAAAGTCAAATAAAATAAGAACTAGACAATGACTGTAAAATGGCACTGCCTGGCTAAAACTTTTATAAGTAATCTATTTCCCAGTTACTGGTCTTTTAATTTTTGAAAAAAATTTCCTATTGAAAACAAGGCTGCAGCAATTATATATAGAAGCAATAGCTCTATATTTTTTCCTAATTGGAGCTATTTGTGCATTGCATAATTGATTATAAAAATTGAAAGATAGAAATATTTTACCGCAGAAATATTTATATATACGTGTTCAACAAGCTTTTCAAAAGACAAATATAGCAGAATATAGCAGAAACCCTGACTATTTGTACAGGTAGTCTACATGCATAAATACATATATTTAGTATCGTATGATCTGCAAGATTTTCCCAATATATCTGAAAAGTCAATGTGGACTCAGTCAATTTAACATTTTTTTTTAATGGAAATTGACAAGCGGATCTAAAAGTCAGTTTGGGGTAAATATTACATCTGAGATTATTCAAAACATTTTGAAAAAAAGCATCTTTTGGGGGAAAATATGTAAAGGTACTAGGGGGTTAATAATTAAAAGAATGTCATATTGTTATATAAATGGAAAACGGTAGAAATGGTATTGCAACTATCACTAAGCATTTGAAGAGTGGGAGGAGAAGATATAGCTACCTCTCATTATGCACACATACAGGTGCACATACACATGCACACTTAGCTTTACATTATTCTCACACGTAGATCAGTAGGCTGAAAAAACCATTAAAAGTATTATAAAATTTAAAAGACCACATTTTAAATACTGGTTTAGGAATAAATTTTTAAACAAATATCAAAAAAGAATTATTAAACACTCAATGAAATTGATAAATACCTACAAATGCTATTAGTAGAACAGAAATAGAGGATTCAAATAAATAAATAGAAATAATCCTTTAATAAATAAATAATAAAATCTAAAGAGTTACAAGGTACTAAAGAAATCCTCATCAAAATCTTTTCAGTCAACGGTTGGTATAAAACTGTAAAATTTACACATTATAATATGGATGGATCTTACAAAAACTACTGTGCTAAGTGAAACCATTAAACAGAATTAGGTATATGAGACAATACCCTTTCCATACAATAAAAATTTAATATTAAAATTCAAAGTAAAAATTATTATACTGCTTTTAATTCAGCAGTATATGTTTTAAATAATATGAATAAATATAAGGGTGCTTTAAACACATGAAGTCATTGTCAATGTTGATAGAATGTAATAAGAGTGGAAATCTGAATTATAAAGAAAAGAATACATTTGTGAACAAATAAATAGAGAGGCCTTACATAGGTTAATATACTTAAATAGATCAAATACTAGAGTATGGGTGAGGAACATTACTAATCATTTGTACCTAGGCTTTAATTTTTAAAAAGTACACTTGAGTAATAAACACATAAAATAATTCCTGATATCATTAGTAATTCTACAAAAACAAATTAAAATAGAGAATATTGGTAAAAAAAATAGGAAAATAGGGAACATATATCTATAATTTTAGTTATTATGAATACATAATAGTTGTACATATTTGTGGAGTACGTGTGATATTTTTATACAAGAATACAATGTGTAATGATCAAATCCAGGTAATTGGTATATACATCTCCTCTAGCATTTATGATTACTTTGTATTATAAACATTCTAATTCCACTATTTCAGTTATTTTGAAATATACATTATTGGTAATTATAGTCATCCTATATTTTAACTAACAGTTTGGCCACTCATGCACACATGAAAATAGAATGTTTATAGCCAGAAAATTGTTTGTTAAAATAGGAGTCTTGCAATGTCTACAGAGTGTAAATGAGTTCAAACATTGTGGTTATGTATAAAATTTTTATAAATTTGAATAATATATTTTTATATAAAAAAGTTAACAAAGGTAATAATTATCAGTTGTTATATGGTTTTTGTGTGTATATATTTATTTTATATATATTTTATTATTTATATATTCATATATTTATGTATAACTTTTATATTATATATTATATATAAAACATTTTATATATAATATATAATATATTAACTAATATATAATTATATATTGACCTATATGTAATTATATTACATATATTTTATCCCATATATATTTTATAATATATAATATATATTTATATATATTTGCCTAGGGGAGGTTCCCAGGAATGTCCATATGCAAAGGCTGATCAATGCTGGAAAAAAGGCCTGACTATAATAGCTCACCTGGGGACAATTGTAAAGGACTCTTCTAGCTTGAGAGCCCCTGTGGGGTTACTCGTTACTCGTGGATGTTTACAGACTGACAGCATTTGCAGCTCACCTTCTTACTGCCCAATCCTGCTGTCTGCACTTCCCTTTCAACTAACATCTCAGGAATACTTAATACATGTCTAGCAATGCCAAGTTTCAGTTTAGAATAAGACTCCAAGTATTTTTTAAAATATCTGTTCCTGGTATCAAATATGCTATGTGCATCTATTTGGTATGCATATGAGTGTGTGTGTGTGTGTGTGTGTGTGTGTGTGTGTGTGTGTGTATTCTTTAAGGCTCTTGATAAATAATCTCAAATGGTTATGCCATTGTAAACTTTCCAGTGTTTTTAAAAGAGTGCCTACTTCATAGTACTTTGAAATAAAGCTCAGAGTTTCAGGGTTTAACATGTTTTGGATTCCAGCTTTGCCAGTTTGACATGTAAAGGACAGAATCTCAACATCTCATAACATTTTGTTTAAATTTTCTTGAATTTCTAAAGTTGTTGAGATTGTCATTTATTTAACAGTCTTTTAAATTATATTGGTTGTCTATTCGCTTTGATAGTTTCTGTTGCTTATTTACTGTTTTTGTTTAGTTCTTTTGTATTGAACATATATATTGCTTTAACTTCAGATACCAGATACTAGGACGCTGGAAAGGAAAGACGCTTCCAACAGTAGTGGTTCACAAGAAAAGGAATATGTGGCTTCTCTTCAGTCTGCCACACACATTTGAATTCTATTGCTTTTTTTCTCTATAAGCAAAACCTTTTCAAATAATCTCTCCAAATTTATGAATTAGGTGGACTCTGCACCCAAAACGCTAGAAAGCACAAAGGAATGCATATCAAAATAAGCATACAGCCATGTTGGAAGACAATTTGGGAGTTTCTTACAAAGGTTAACTCAGTCTTACCATGTCACCCAGCAATCACTCTCCTAAATGTTTGCACAAATAAACTGAAAGCTTACATCATACAAAAACTTGCACATTTGTGTTTATAGCCACTTTATTTGCAATTGCAAAAAAAATTAGCAGCAACCAAGATTTCCTTTAATAGATGAATGAGTAAATAGTTTGAAGATATTCTAAAACAGTTGAATAGGGAAATAAAAATTAGACAAGCCACAGACCCTCAGACTTATATAGACTCACACAATGGAAAATTAAAAGAAATGAACAGTCAAGCTATAGAAATACATGGAGGCACTTACAACACATATTGTTAAGGGAAAGAAAGCAGTGCCAGAAGGCCACATACTGTATAATTTTAACTATGTGACATTCTGCAAAAGGCAAAACTATAAAGACAGTAGAAAAATCACTGATTCTCAGGGAGTAATGAAGTAGGGGATAAGTAGATAGAGCACAAGAGATTTTAAAGACCATGAAACTATTCTGTTTGATGCTGTTATAGTAGATATGGGACTTTATGCATCTGTGTCAAAACCCATGTAACTGTACAGCTACAAGAGGGAACTACAAAGTAAACTATAGATATTAATAATAATACATCTATATTGGTTTTAAAATAATAATACAATTGAGGAAAAAACATTTTAATATGAGTAATAAAATTATTTAATTGTTCTCATACAAGCAAAATAGAGAAAAACAGGATGGCAGATGGGGAATATCAATAAGAAAGATAATAAAATGAAAAAGAAGAAAATTGTGACCATACATTCAAAGAAGAAAGAAACATAATAAATTAACTACACAGAAATGCAAATGCTCAAAGAGAAAATAAAATAGCTCAAGGAAATTATGATAAGTCTATATAAAGAAATGAAACCTGAATCCTCAAAGCTCAGGAAACACCTGGGAGAAAGAAATGAAACTAACATAAAAATATGGTTAAACTTGGAAAAGGTATAAGGCAGAATAAATCCAAGACAACCAAAGGTATGTCATATATATACATACATATGTATGTATGTAAACATATATTACATGCATATGTATGTATACATATATTACATATACTTATTTATATGTGACATAACTTTGTCTTGTGTATACACACACATACATATAAATACATATATGTAAGATTTATGGGAAAAAATAAAACATGTTTTTAAAAATATCATACATACAAATAAAAAAAGAGGACTTCAATACACAAATTGAAAAGCATAGTTTGTCTGACAAAATATTGATTCAGAATTGACTACAAAATGATAAGTCCCCAAATTTCAAAACAGTTAAGAGTGGAAAAGATTAGGCTGGTTTCAGACTTATTCACAATACTATAACGATGTTTATGATACAAGCAATAAATACCTACAAAATTTTCAGGGAAACAAAGAGGTATATAATGGAAAAAAAAGTTGACATATAAAGACAGAGGAAAAATTGTTTACATGAGAAATTTCTTAGGAATTTGCTAAATTTGTCTTACCAAGATATAAAATAAAAATAAAGGTAGACACACAAAAATAAAATACCTGGAATACATCTAACCAAGGAAGTGAAAGAGATCTACAAGAAGAACTACTGCTGAAAGGAGAACTACTGCTGAAAGAAACCAGATATGACACAAGTAAATGGAAAAACTATATGCTCATGGATTGGAAAAATCAATATCATTAAAAGGCCATGCTGCCCAAAGCAATTTATAGATTCATTGCTATTAGTATCAAACTACCAACACCATTTTTTACAAAATTAAAAAAAAAGAAACTATCCTAAAATTTTTATGGAACTAAAAATGAGCCCAAAATAGCCAAAAGTTTTCCTAAACGAAAAGAACAAAGCTGGAGGCATTACATTACCTAACTGTACTACAAGGCTACAATAATGAAAACAATGATACTGGTACAAAAACAGACACATAGATCAATGAAACAGAATAGACAACCCAGAAATAAAGCCACACACTTACAGCCACCTGATCTTCAACAAACTCTACAATAATAAGCAGTGGGGGAAAGAATTTCCATTCAATAAATGGTGCTAGGATAACTGACTAGCAATATGCAGAAAAATGAAACTGGATCCCTACCTATCGTCATATACAAAAATTAACTCATAATGTATTGAAGACTTAAATGTGAAACCTCAAACTATAAAAATCCTAGAAGAAAATCTAGGAAATACCCTTCTCGATATTGGCCTTGGTAAACAATTTATGACTAAATCTCCAAAAGCAATTGCAACAAAAACAAAAATTGACAAGGGGAACCTAATTAAATTAAACAGCTTCTGCACAGCAGGAGAAACTATTCAGGAAGTAAACAACCTACAGAATGAAAGAAAATATTTGCAAACTATGCATCCAATAAAGGTCTAATATCCAGAATCTATAAAGAACTTAAACAAATTACGAACAAAAATCAAATAACCCCATTAAAAAGTGAGGAAAGCACATGAACAGATACTTTTTAAAAGAAGATATACAGGTGGCCAACAAACATATGAAAAAAAATGCTCATCATCACTAATTATCAAGGAAATGCAAATCAAAACCATGTGAGATGCCATCTCACAGGAGTCAAAGTGACTTTTGTAAAAAAGTCAAAACATACCAGATGTTGACGAGGCTGTGGGGAAAAGGGGACATTTATCCTGTTGATGCAAATGTAAATTAGTCCAGCCACTTTGGAGAGCAGTTTGAGATTTTTTCAAAGAACTGATTTGAACTACCAGTTGACCCAGTAATCCCATTACTGGCTTTATACCCAAAGGGAAATCATCCTAGCAAAAGGACACATGTGCCCATCTGTTTCTGGCAGTGCTATTCACAATAGCAAAAACAAGAAATCAACCCAGATGCCCAACAACAGTGAATTGGAAAAGAAAATGTGGTATATATTTACCATGGAATACTATGCATACATAAAAAAGGACAAAGTTATGTCTTTTGCAGCAACATGGATGCAGCTGGAGGCCATTATTCTAAGGGAACTAATATGGAAACAGAAAACCAAATAGTGCATGTTTTCACTTTTAAGTGGAAGCTAAAGATTGGGTACACATGGACATAAAGGTGAGAATAATTGACACTGAAAACTACTAGAGCCGGGAGAGAGAGAGACCAGGGCAAGGACTGAATATTACCTATTGGGTCCTATGTTCAGTATCAGTGAAGCAGGATATTTCCTTGACCACTTTGCAACAGTACTTGCAACAGGCGTGCCTAGTTTACTCAGCACACCACTCTCAACTCCTCATGGGAGGGAGGCGCTTGAACAAAGGAGGAAGGAACTGGAGTGCACCAGTTGGAAGTGGAACCAGCTGGCTGCTTGAACTCCACTCATTAGGCCTGCTACCTTCCACCCCTCATTAGAGGGAGCATGCAGGCGAGCGGGTGCAGGAGCCGGGGCGAGTGCTTTTGGGTGCTGGCAGAAGCAAACTCTGTGAGGGCCCCGCAGCAGCATTTTGGGGGGGGGGGGTGCAAGTGCGCTGAGCGTGTTACAGTGCTTTTTTTTGCTCTACCATACAGTGGCTGAGTGTTAATTTAGTGTTAACATGTCAGTGGGGCTGTGGCTGCCCTCAGACAGTGAGGGCAAAGGGCCAGTGTTCAACATTTTGTATCCGCGCTCCTTGCTCCCAAGCTCTTGTCTGGCATCCAGGAGAAATGAGGTTGTAGGAACGAATTGAAGGATGGTAAATGTGAAGGATTTTATTGCGGATGAAAATGGCTCTCAGCAGTAAGGGGAGCTGATAAGGGGACAGGGGGCGGGTAAGTAATCTTCCTCTGAAGCCAAGCCACTGCTCTCTGACATCCAGCAGTAGTCCCCGACATCCAGCTGCTTCTCGTCTCTGCCAGCTGAATTTGGGGTCTTTATAGGCACAGGATGGGGCAGGGTGGAGCCATGCGTAGTTTAGGAAAAGGCAACATTACAGCAGGAAAACAAGGATGTAAGTTCTTACTTTGGGCCAAGGTCTCAGGCTTTTTGGCTCGAGGGTGTGGCTTCTCCAGGGACCCGCTCGTGTCTGCCTAGAATTTCTCAGTCTCCTGCCTCTATCATTGTATCACCAGGGCGATGGGTTCCGTCATACCCCAAACCTCAGCATCATGCCAATATACCTCCACAATAATCCTCACATGTACCCCTGATTCTAAAGTAAAAGGTGAAAAAGAAAAACAAATAAAGGCATAAGTTTTTACCTGTCAGGAATGAATTCATTTAGTCTTAGAAAAAAATGTTCAAGCAACTATTGGAAGTACAGTAATAAAAAAAAAATGTCAAGGTTATGTATGTGATAAGCTAAAAAAATCACATAAGTGAAAATTATTAAGTAGGGAGTAACAATGTAGGATGCAGAGAAAGTATTCTGATTTCTTCACTTTTACTATGTTTATATCAAAGGAGATTATAGAAATATGACATTAAATAATTGAGATATATTCATGCCCAAATGCAAAAGTGTGAAAACAGCTTGACATGGAAATTATTTTATATTAGGTAGAGGTGTGTGAGGAATAAGAAGTACATTAATTAATTATTGTAATATTAGGAGATAGATACTGCTGAAAGACATGGAATATTAGATTTAATTTATAAACTTATTTAAACAAAGAATATTAGGAATTCAAATGCAAATCTTCATATATATCAAGAGTAATATACACTAAACAATGAAATCAGTCTTTCACTAGCGTCCGTGTGAAGAGACCACCAAACAGGCTTTGTGTGAGCAACAAGGCTGTTTATTTCACTTGGGTGCAGGCGGGCTGAGTCCAAAAAGAGAGTCAGCAAAAGGAGATAGGGGTAGGGCCATTTTATAAGATTTGGGTAGGTAAAGGAAAATTACAGTCAAAGGGGGGTTGTTCTCTGGCAGGCAGGAGTAGGGGTCACAAGGTGCTCAGTAGGGGAGCTTTTGAGCCAGGATGATCCAGGAGAAGGAATTTCACAGATAATGTCATCAGTTAAGCCAGGAACAGGCCATTTTCACTTCTTTTGTGGTAGAATGTCATCAGTTAAGGCAAGAACGAGCCGTCTGGATGTGTACGTGCGGGTCACAGGGGATATGATGACTTAGCTTAGGCTCAGAGGCCTGACACAGTCTATAAAGTGAAAGTTTTTAAAAACTGTGAGCCTGTAATGTTTGACTCTTGCACAAAACACACTAACAAAACCACTTTTAGAAATGAAAAAAGAAACATCTTTTTTATGAGCTTTTCTCCATACACTCAGAGGAATAAAGTAAATTTAAAATAAATATTTCTTTTTAAAAAAATGGAAGTTTTGCTATATTGCCCAGGTTAGACTCAAATTCTTGGGTTCAAGGGATTCCCACACCTCAGCCTCTCAATTAGCTGCGACTGCAGGTGTACGCCACGACACCTGGCTAAAATAAAAATCTTGTAGTTTGAGAAATATTTGGCTTACACGCATATTGCATAACCACTATAGTCTTCTGCTGGCTACAGTCTCTGTCTAGAATTACCCATGATCCTGCTTGTTCAACCCACCTTTAATGCCAGGCATTAGTGGTTCTTTTTAAATTGCTTCCACCTTTTGTCACTGTATAATTCCATTCTATATAGTTTCTGAAATGTTTGCCCACTATGTAAAGATGGCAAATCTAGATTAGTTCAGGCCATATGTTTATTTGATCAGGTATAGCCCCAGTTCCAGGATGCTACAATGTGCCAGTTTCTCTTCATTTTCTTCCTGTTTATTTGCAACTTTCGATTTCACTTTATTTATACAACCATTTCCATGTAAAAACTAGTTTGTACCGAACTCACAAATCTAGTATTTTAGACCAGTTTTCTTCCCCAAGGACAATTAATATGCAGCCATTAAATAACTCCATAATGACATTTTCAAACACAAACAAGTTGTTTACACCTATATCCCCAGGACAATGGGGCTCGCTTAATCTACATTTCACAGTCAAGTGATTTTTTTTTTTTTTAAAGAACAAAAACAGATTGCTTCAAAGTTTTAATTAGTACCTATCCATCTTATGAAAAAGTGAATATTTTCTTTACAGAAATATTTTGATATAAAAGTTAAAATGCCTTATAATAATTGATTAAAATGCCTTATAATAATTGCATGTATATTTGTTGAGAATTCGTTTGCAACATGGTCTGGTGACTCAGATGTAGGAAGTATGGTTTAGAAAGACCAGCAGGGTGTAGATCTAGAAGACAGTTGGTAGTGATCAGTCAGGTACTAAGGAAAAATTGAAGATCCATCCAAGGAATTGAAAAGGAAAAGAAAGGCTAGGCACGGTGGCTCAGCCTATAATCCCAACACTTTGGGAGGCCGAGACAAGTGGATCATCTGAGGTAGAGACCAAGCTGGCCAACATGGCAAAACCCTGTCTCTACTAAAAATACAAAAATTAGCCTGGCGTAATGGTACATGCCTGCAGTCCCAGCTACCCGGGAGGCTGAGGCAGGAGAATCACTTGAACCCGGGAGGTGAAGGTTGCAATTAGCTGAGATCGCACCACTGCACTCCAGCCTGGGCAACAGAGAGTGACTCTGTCTCAAGAAATAAAAATAAAAAGGTGAAAAGAAAAAATCCAGAAACATTCTGGATTCTTGGGTTAAATCCTAGGACTCTAGAGTCAGTGTGCGGACTTAAAGAAGTCTATGAACTTTCTGAGGAGATCAGCCACATTATGAGTGTAAAATAAATATAGTGGGCATGTAAACGTCAGGTATTAAGAGCATAGAAGACATCAAGCAATGAGGTATAGGTCAACTGAGTCCATGTAGCCTATGGAAAATAAATAAAACTTTTCATAAAGATCTGGTTTAGGAAATAAATTGAAAATCTTTAATTGAAAGAGTTTTGAGAATGGATAGAATCTTAATGTCAATAAGTATCTTAAATATTTTTTAGTATAAACTCTTACCAAACTCAGTAATTTTTTGAATTACAGGCAGATATATAAGAATAATTTTGAATCTGCTACCCTGTAGAGCTGGAAGTAAATATTGGCACTGTTACTTGTTAGCTGTGAAGGCTTGTTTAACCTATTTCCTTACCTACTGAAGATGAAGATGATAGCTTCTTGTTTTGCTGGGAGGCTTATAAGAAAAGAAAATGTAATATACTCTACCTCTGTACTTGACCACAATAATGTTACAACCATTGTTATTTCCATATTGGACATATTTTCAGATTTCTGCTGAAGGGGTGGCCTGGGTAACCATATTGGTAATATGTAATTCCTTCTCTCCCTGCAGCATAAATGAGTGTACTATACTGATTTGGCATCTAACTAATGGATAACCCAGTCTTTCTCTTTCACCTTCCCCTCTTCCACCTTCATCTCCATATTTTAACGAAGAGACACAATTGCCTTTGTTCTGACAAGTGAAATACACCCAAAGCAACACACAAAGCGAAGTCAAAGGTAAGCCAAAATTCTGAGTGAAAGCAATTTACTCTGAATCTGGCGTTTTGAGAAAAGAAGGAGTGGACAAAAAAAAATCTAACAAAAAGCATAAGAAAACGAAGAACCAACAAAAATGGTCTCTGGCATACAGGGACAGAGCATTACTATACTCTAACAGGTTCACTCTAACAGGTGCAATGTCTGATGGCTGAGATTTTCCTAGTTCACCCTCTCACTTTCTGTCATTGACTTCCATCAATTCCATATTTTTATGAAACTCAAGTTTATTCCTTTTCTTGAGCTAGCTTGGCTGGCTCCTGTTTTATGCATTTAAAAAATGTGTCATGTAATCAATTCCTTTCCCCATTTCCTTTCCTAAAACATATTCAGAAGTTTTAGGACCCATGACCCCCCTACCCCACCCAACCACCACCAACCATTAGCTTAAATCTTTATGGTCAATACTCTTTGAGGGATGAATTTAACTCAGGGGTTCTATTATCAAGTTCTGACTTATGTCAAACTGATTTTCTAATTCACTTCAAATCCTGGAATCTCAGCTGCTCTGGCATTAAGCTAGAGATATGTGTGTACACATACGTGTGAGGGAGAGAAAAGTACAGATATACTCAAAGCAATCTGATTAGCATTGAAAAAATATGTTCCAAACTGATGAAATAAAAAACCCGAATAAATACCATTGATATTGCCAAATAAATCTAATTTTTAATGATGCTTGCTGTTTTACTGATCTCAGTCCTCCTCATTAGCACATCTAAAAATATCTTGAAAACTATATGATTACCGTCTTGATGGTAGAACTTTAATAAAAACATCTTGAACTTTGTAAGATTTAAAGGTAAATATGAAAATAAAAACAAGAGCACTAGTCAGAAATGAGATTATTAGTCATGAATTTGCAATCCAAATATTTTTCCCATTTATGCAATACCCAGAAGATAGCACATTTCCTGTCGATTGACTCTGGCCTTAAGTTTTGCTAAACATTAACAACTTAAGGAAAGGAAGAAAGCTAAAATAGCTCCCTTTTAAGGCAAGATAAGAAGACCTTGCCTGACTTCATGGATTAAGTAGAATTTTCAACTTTTCAAGCCTCAGTTTGTAAAAAAGAATGATGTTTCTTTCTTTCCTTCTTCTGTTTCTTTCTTTTGCTCCATCTTCTCTTCTTTCCAGGCATTTATTCAACAATGTAATAAGACTTTACATTAAAAATTTAATTGTCTTCCCTTTTCTACTTGGTACTAATAGCCATAAACAGCCCTAAGCTAAAAATATTCTTAGAGACCTGATTCTATTAGTGATGCTTTGGCTGTGATTTCCTTGACCAATAACACAAGTCAATCTTAAGAGTTCAAAGGTCTTAGTCTTATAAACCTCCTTAAAAGCCATTTATTACTTTTCACCAGAGCATGCACTTAAAAATGAATCAGACAAGGCAATCTTTTCAAGCTTAAAATAAATTTATTCAGAACAAGAATATATGATCCAAAGGTCAAAGCCAATCTGCCCAAGTTTGATTTTCACCTCCAGGAGTTCATAAACCTAGAGCTGTTTACGCTTATGTTTCTGAGGAAATATTTTGATCATGGTTGTAGTATAGACATATTTTCTTTTTAAAGAAAAGTATAGCAGTCTGGCAACAACCTTCATTTTTTTCCACTTCATGAAATTTTTTTATTTATAATTTTTTCTTTAAACTTATTTTTTATTAAAACCATGTTCCTCAAGCTACAAGTTGTGACCTAATATTCTGTCATTAAATCAATGTATTAAATGGAATACGCATCTAATAAATTAAGAAGCAATAGATATATAATAATATGAACAATAAAATAGAGCAGTTATATTAAACTGTTCATTAAGTATTTGTTAGGACAGTTTGCTTTCTGTGTGTGTGTGTGTGTGTGTGTGTGTGTGTGTGTGTGTGTGTGTTTTGGGTTACAATATAAAACATATTCTTTATCATACTTTTGTCCCAGTTTGTTTAATAAATTACCCAGACTTAGTGGCTTAAACCAACAGTAATCATTTATTATGTCTTACAATTTATGTGGTCAGAAATCCAGAAGGAACATAACTTATTTCTGCTCTAGATGCCTGTGGCATCAGCTGAAAGACATACAGGCTGAAGGCTGCTGTCACTTTCATTCTCATCCACTCTCATGTCTGGTTCTTGATGTGTGCATGTCTTGATGATCTCATTTGGGCTGTTTGCCGGAACACCTACAAGTGTCCTCTCCATATGACTGCAGTTTCCTCACAAGCTGGTGGCTGGGTTCCAAGGGCAATCATTGTAATAGAGTGAGAGACAGAGGCAGCATTGCTTGTGTTGACCTAGCCTTGGCAGTCACAAAGTCACCCGATGTCATTTCCATCATATTAGTTAAGGCAGTTACAAAGGTCCACTCAGATTTAAGGAGAATAAACATGGACTCCTCCTCTCTATTGAAGAATGTCAGTGTCATCCAGTAAAAGGTACTTTGGATCAGAATATATATTTTGTATGGCTATCTTTGTAAAATTTGCTGCCACAGTTTCCTACTCAAAAAAGCTGAAAACTACTTGGTCCTTGGTCATAGTCTTTGGGATATTAGCATTGAATATTTTATAAGACATGAAGAGACTTGTATTAAAGGAACCCCTGCCAAAATTCATGACCATTAAAATAGAAGAGATAGAAAAAATGTTTACATTTGGAGAGAAGAAAAAGTGTAATGAGTATTATATACTCTTAATTCCTGGGGAATGTATATCAGTCAGAATAGACCTGGCGTCTTTGTTCTCTTCTTCCTTTTAGTAGTAGTTTACTTCATATAACTAGGTAATCAAAAAGTTCCAAGTTTTAAATTTATTTTATGAAATTTATATTAATTGACTACTTCAAGAATTATTTTAGGCACTGGAATGGTTATTGAGCCAAATAAAGATAGAGAGCTCAAACAGCATATAGCCTAATCAAGAGAAATACATAATAAATATGCCATTTCATTCCCAAGCTGAAATAGAGGTAAGTACAGAGTATTATGATGATTCCTAGAAAAAGGTGACTGACTCTGGCTGATGGATTTGGAAAGGTTTGACAGAAGAGCTGCTTTTTAAATTGCACTGTGATATGTTTCTAATCATAAGCAATTTTTTACTATGGTTATAGGTTATGTTACCTTAGATCCTTAGAAAATAGTTCTCACAAATGTCAGAGTTGAAATATTCCTACCAAGTTAAACATAAAAATGGGCCAAATCCTGTAATCCCAGCTATTCAGGAAGCTGAGGCAGGAGAATCGCTTGAACCCGGGCGGTGGAGGTTGCAGTGAGACGAGATTGTGCCACTGCACTCCAGCCTGGGTGACAGAGCGAGACTCCGTCTCAAAAATAAAAATAAAAAATAAAAAGTGGGGCTGAATCTCTTATTGGTTAAGGATCAGATTCAAATATTGCCTATACTATGTACTACTTGGGTAACCTTGGGTAAATTGAACCTCCACATATTTCTGGTTTTCACCTGAAACATAAGAAAAACAGCAATACCTACATCATAATACTGTTAAGAAGATCAAAAGAATAGTATTTGTGAAGCGATTATTATAGTGCCTGAAATGTGTTGAACAATTAAGAAACATCTGCCAAAATTGCCAGCATTGTTTTCACTACTAATATTGTAGCCATAGACAGGAGGACATTTTGTGCAGATCATGCGAACTAAAAATGTTTAGCAAAAGTTAAGCTAAGGAGGTAGCTCATCAGATATCATCATCATTAAAATACAAATGGAATAAGAGCAATAAACAAAGTCAATGACTTTCTATTGCTGTGCTTCATTCTTATTATGGCACTAAGCACAATAAAAATTATGTTGTCCATTTTATTACTTGTTTGCTCAAGATGTTTTTGTTTCTCTATCAGCAATGTTTCCACCAAAAAAAAAAAGCAGAACCAGTAGGATTTAAGGGTATATATATACACACACACACACACACACACACACACACACACACCTAATTGACTAAGAGGATTATGGTCTGGTAGGCAAGTTCAAAATCCTGCTGATAGGCAAGCCTTGAGGAAAGGCAGGCTGGAACTTGAAATTGTCTAGCAAGACTAAAAGTGTCATCCTCAGGCAGAGTTCTCAATCAGGGAAGCATCACCTCTGCTCTTAAAGGTCTTCAAACTGATTTAATCACACACACAGATTTTATCAAGCATAATCTCCCTTACTTAAAGTTAACTTACAAAAAGTTGTGTAATAATGAGACCTTAATCATATCTCCAAAATATATTCACATCAACTCATAGATTATGTTTGATTGAATAACTGAAAACTCTAGCCTAGCCAAGTTGATCCACCAAAAGACCATCACAGTTTCTAATTGCTTATTTTCTCTGTCCTGTATATAACTCAATCCCTACCACCTGTAATGTTCCCTGGAACACAGCAGAAACTCAAAAATATTTGTTTAACAAATAAAGAAATGTGAGTATCATGCTGTGTGGCATCTAATAAGCCTTGCAAATGATTTTGAAACATAGCCTAAAAGCAAATGCAAACAAAAAAATACTTTTAGATTAGATAGGAATTTCATAAAGCATTTTTTTTTGGAAAAATAAAGAATACTATAGTCAGTGTGGAAAATTCATTATTAATAGGAGAGGCCCTCCACAACAAATCATTAGGAGGATATTATATTCATGCAGGTGAGAGAAAAATGAGATCCCAAACTAAGTAACACAGAGAAAACGGAAATATAGAACATTTTTGAGAGAATTGTGAAAGATATGGTAAGAATTTGCTTGCCACAGAAAAAGAAATAAAGAACAGAATCTTCAGTAGATAATTGTTGCTTATTATGTAAAGGTCATGGAGTGGAATAAACATATTACAGTTTCTTCAAGTAAGACTACAAATGAAATAATTTTCTAGTTTCAGTACCTCAAGAAGGCACTTTTGGATAGAAATAGAACTGATGTATCACTTTGTGACTCTTACAAGCAAACATTACTTTCAGTGTAAATGTAGGAGTGCAATTAATAGGAAATTTATCAACATACTGTACATGATGGAAGTATATTTTTACACATTATGGAGTCCAAAACTTAGCTTTATTAGTCACATTGGTTAATGATCTCTGTGTTAAGGTATTATACAACCTTTTAAAATATTGAGATATTATTGCTATTTTCACATTGTTCTGATGTTTTATTAATTGTTGCAGCTGTTTGTTCTAAATAATTTAGTTAATATTTAACTGCACTGATGCCCTGGGATTGTTAAAGCTAAAGATGCAATTCAAACAATCAGAACAATAAAAGCATAATTACTAGAATCAGAAAATGTTGTGATGAGATTTAATAAGTTTTTAGGATTCCTTTGTATTTTTCCATACTTACTTATTCCCTCATTAGTAACCAGTATGTCAGTTTCTTTAAGAAATGAAATGGAAATATCAACTATGTGAAACTGTATTTTGGTGCTAATTAAATATACATAGATATACATCAGGTATGTTAAGTATTCTTGCCCCAATGTTCTTTTCAAATGTCATTAAACTTACTACTCCAGAAAAATCTGTCAACACCATTATATAGTCTTCTCACATCAAAATTAATATCTAAATAATCTTCATGTTGTATTAATGTTAAATATACATGTTTTGATGTATACTATATTTCAGAATGCTATATTTATGCTAAGCTGTCCAAATAAGTTTGGAAATCTTTCGTGTTAAATACAATTTTATAGATTTTGTTATTTTTATTGTAACACTTCTTATATTTTATAATATACCAATGTACATCCTGAGTTTTCAGAGAAGAAGAAGTAGTATGAAACACTATTAATCTCATTTAGCTAAATTATCATCATATATTTTGATATTTTTAAAAGAGCAGGATAAGAAAGTTAAGTATACAGATTTGGTTTGCCGTTTAAGGTGGCTTACTAAACACAAGTATTTATTAATCCTCCCTCTGATGTCCTGTTGAAATGATGTAATGCATAAAAAATAATATAGATCAGATATAGGACTAGAAATCTTGAGAAAACACCATCAACAGAAGAGGAATTTCTTATATTTTGAAAGACATGTTAGGATCAATTTTTTAAAACTTTCCGTAAGAACTAGAAGGCAGACATCTTACGTGGGTGAAAGAGAGGACTGTCAAACAAAAAGTACATATATATATATATCTCATATACATGTTATATATATGATTTATATAAATATTATATCTTTTATATGAGATCTATATAAATATCATATATATTTTGTATATGATATATATATAAATATGCAATACATATTTTATATAAATATTATATATGACATCGTATATACATATATGTATATATGCACACGTATACAAATACATATATAAGTGTGTGTATATATACATACATATAGTATGGATATATTGGGGTATTCATTCAAGAACTAATTAAAAGGCTACTCATACTCTTATTCTCTTATTTCTAAAGCAACTAAAATAAAATAAAATATTTGCCTTCAAGTTAAATCTGCTGTCGGATTTATCAGAGTTCAGTAAGAAAAACAGAAACCATTCCATGTATTATATGAATAAAATGGCTTT
Organism: Homo sapiens; assembly: GCF_000001405.40. Classification (NCBI taxonomy): domain Eukaryota; kingdom Metazoa; phylum Chordata; class Mammalia; order Primates; family Hominidae; genus Homo; species Homo sapiens. The sequence goes on from NC_000011.10 coordinate 37,978,530, forward strand.
TATGACTTTTGGAAAAGCTGGAGGGGTAAGAAGTTCATAGAAGCTGCTCTTGAGAGTCAATTACTTGATTGTGAATATTTCAGCTTGAATGATCAAAGTGAATGGTTCTTACAAAGCTAGCATGAATCCATAGCAATTCTCAAGTATCTCTGAGAAGCTCCCAGATGTAAGTCTGCAGCATGATATGAGATATTCTCCAAAGCTTGCTAGGAGCTGCTGGGACTCTCTCCTCTACCCATGTGTCTAGCTGTCATCACCTCTGGAAAACAATAAAATCTGTTTTATCTCAGCTGCCTCTTCAGTCTTGAGGAAGTTCCTGTCATTGAAAAACTTCAACTGGGGAGCACACAGAAATGAGATTTCTGTGACCTATTGTTCCAAAGCGTAGAAGGTGGCAGTGCCCTGCCAAATTAGCAATAAGCAACCAAGCAGAGTAATTGTCTAAATTAAGTATGCATATTTGAGGCAAGAGATTCACAGAGTAGATGCCAAGCATAGCCACATACAAGATAACTGAGAGCCATCCAAGGAACCAAGATAAAACCATAACTGGAATATAAGCAACCATGCTGGAGGAAAAGCCTGTTTTCACATTTCTCTTCTTCAGCCCAGATCCCTGCACTATCTCTTGTGTCAAGCTCCTCTAATTAGAACCAAAAATCCCATCAAGGAAGCCAATGATGAACTACTGGACTAAAGAGATATATGCCAGCTATCAATACTGATGATTTATAAACAAAAATGATAAAACATTTTAGGAAAATCAAGACTGTGAAAGAAGCTCTCCGATCATAAAAAGGAGAAATAAAACCTCTGAGGAAACGAAGCTCTCCGATCATAAAAAGGAGAAATAAAATCTCTTGAGAAAACATAATTAATACCTGTAAAGAAAGCATTAAATGTTTTAAAATAAATTGCAGATAGTATCTTCACAGAAAATAGCAAGAATGTTAGATGTTCAAATGCAGGTTTCATACAAGAAAAATTTTAAAAATTACTATTTAAAAACACGACTTGAAAAGTAAAACAAAAATTAATGGAATAAGGGATGGACATGGCTAAATATTAGACTAAAATGATATATTGGATGTGAAATAAAACATAAAAAGACAAAGAATTAAATAGAATGGAAGATTAAAGAAACGGAGAGATACAGAAAGTCAGAGATGAAAGAAATAATAAAAAGAAAACACAGGACAATCTTTCTTTACTTGAATAACTTTAGAGTTCGGGTTGAAAGTTCCACCAAGTCTCAGTGAGAATGATCAAAAAACCAAACCAAACAAACCAAAACAAAACAAAATCTCATATGTGACATATACAGGTAAAATTTCTTAGCTAAATGGAAAAATAAAAATAAAAATCTAACAAAGAATAAGCAAGTTATGCATTTTTTAAAAGGTCACATTATATTGGCAGGGCACATTTCAACTGTAACAATGTGCTAGAAATTCATGAAGACAAATTTTTAAAAGATTCCAAGAGAAAATGAGTGATGTTTCTAAAATTCTCCCAATGACTTAAGGAGTTGCAAACAAGGGGTTTGTTTCTAGAATCAATTCACCACAACAGGTTGCATACATTTGATTTTTCAAGAAGTTTGCAAATTGGAAAAGAAAAATTAGAAAGACTACCAGCAAGAATCAGTAATCAAAGTTATCAATAATAACTTAATGTTTTGGCTTAGAAGACAATACCAAAAGTACTGCATAATCAAAATGTACAGTAATACATGCTCATTCTATTATATTTTGGATCTGTCAAGAAAACTTAAATGAGTTTTGTGCATTCTTTGTCAATGCATTATATCTCTCTGTATATAGCAATCTGAAAATTTTCCATCAATTATGGTTAGACTTCTAAATCATTTGAAATTTCAAAGTGATTAGTAAAATGGTGAGTGAAAATGGTAGATAAATGAAGTATTTTTGGAATAAATTTAAACACGCTTAAAATGCTATAACAAGTTTATAAACTTACTTATCTGGAATTGACTAAATAGAAAAGTCCTAGATACAGCATCAATTTTATAAAGTCAAGTCAATAAACTAGAAGGACCATTTTTATTATTTTTTACTGCATTGTTTTATTTTCTTAGTGTACATGCTATCAGCAAAGTCTGAAGGCATGGTTTGCACATGAAAAGGGTTTTAGCAACTCATAAATAATATAACCAGAGATAAGAGGGGAAAGTAACATTATTTGTTTCTTTAATTTGTGTTTAGTGGGACAATTTTATTAGGACTTTCTCCTTGTCACTTTATGAATGACTAAAAAAAGAACAAAGAAAAAGGAGTTGTGCTTCTGAAACAATAGTTTGGAAACAAAGGTAACATTTGAACAACAAAGCTAGGCAATATTGAAAAAAATTAAAAATCAACATCTAAGAAATAGTTGGCAGTAAATATCAAAAATTTTACTATGAAGTACACTCCTTACTGACTTTGGAGGAAAAAAAGTATTCTGTGACATTTCTCTCTATTCGTTAGAAATTGTAAACACATCCTCAGTGAAATATCTACAAATAACAAAAAGCTGTTAATTCTTTCCGTGTAGAGTTGTGTGACTGTCTGTTATGAACACAGTCTATACTTGCAGTGGAGGTGGGAACTGGCTTCTCATTTGGGTTCTTTTTGTGACCAGTGGCAGTACAGCTCATTCTCTCTGAAAGCTACTTTTAGATAGGGTAACATTTCCTTAAGGCAAAACTATTGCTTGCAGCTCATTGAAACCTTTCCTACTGGCTGAGCTAAATGGGCAGATGTGTTAGGTATATTTATTTTTAGTGATAATATAAAAGAATGATTCACGTTTACATGGTGATTTGCAGATTACTGTGGTCTACTTTCACATTTAAACCTACTTCCTTGACATAATATGCAGGTGTAGTAATTGCTTAACTGATTTCTGAGATAAAACACTAACTCCTTGTGGGAGAAATTATGCATATTGTCTATATCACAGCACTGTATTCTCTGCATCTAGTCATTCATTCATTTAATTATTTTATTATTCATTCTATTCTTATCAAGTACACTGTTAAGCTCTGAGAATATAACTTGGAAGAAGATGAGCACAATCCCTTCCTTCGTGATTTTAACATTCAAGTAGAGATTATACATTTTTAAGAAAAACATTTACAAGTTTCAGATGAATGATACATGAACTAACATTCTGAGAGTCGAAGGTATTTGGCCAGGCTAAATTTCTCATAAGGTGACTCTTGGAACTATGGTAAATAACTTTAAAATCTACATTCTCTAAATCAAGGGTCGCAACCCTGGGCCATGGACAAGTACCAGTCTGTGACCTGTCAGGAACTAGGACACACAGCAGGAGGTGAGCGTGGGTGGGTTAGCAGTCAGGGAACCTCATCTGTATTTACAGCTGCTCCCCATCATTCTCATTACTGCCTGAGCTCCACCTTCTGTCAGATCAGCAGCAGCATTACATTCTCATAGGACCGTGAACCCTATTTTGAACTGCACATATGAGGGATCTAGGTTGTGTGCTCCTTATAAGAATCCAACGCCTGATGATCTGTCATTGTCTCCCATCACTCCTAGATGGGACCATCTAGTTCCAGGAAAACAAGCTCAGGCTCCCACTGATTCTATGTTATGGTGAGTTGTATAATTATTTCATTATAAATTACAATGTAATAATAATAGAAATAAAGTGCACAATAAAGGAAATGCACTTGAAACATACTGAAACCATCTCTCCGCCACACCTGGACCCCGGTCCATAGAAAAATCGTCTTCCACGAAACCGGTCCCTGACGCCAAAATGGTTGGGGACTGCTACTCTACTAGGACTGCTACTCCTCTCTGATTCTACCCGGAGAGGAAACAGTAGGGCATACTTGAAACTGTATTCATAATCCAAAATTACTTAATGCAAATTCTTGAATACATATTTTTATAGGTATACATAAAGTGAGTGGTGTATGTGTGCGTGTGCGTGTGTGTGTGTGTGTGTGTATGGTGGTGAGGAGAGGTATTATGCAAAGCAAGGTAGCACTCTGGTTAAAATCTTTTATTATGAACCCGGTTTGACTATCTATTTTAAGGGATACTTGCTGTGTTGCTTTACATTGTGTCCCTAAACTTCCTATATTACAATTTTTCTTATCTGTAAAATGGGGTTGATGAAAGTGATGACAATGAGATGAGATAAAGTTAGTCCATCATTTCGCATGCAGAAAAACTAACTTTGAACCTTAGTCGTATTACAGGGGTGACTAATATTTTTGTTAGTACATTTGTGCCATGTTCTATGTTCTAACCAATTTTCCCCTTTGTAAAAGTATTCCATTCCCTACATTTTGAAATGCATTAAAGCTTGCTAGTGTTAGCTTATGAAAGCAGATGTATTGGTATCACTTTTCCACAGCTTTGTTGACACAACTGTGTGCAGATCAATATGTATTCTTATCTCAACCAACTCATTTCACTTGTAATGAAGTGAACTGTAATATATGCATCAACGGGTTGGATAATCCACAAGGACCCCATCTTAAAGAATAATACAGGTTCACCAAATTCTCCCTGCTTTTCCTCTTGGCACACAGTGAAGCAAGTGTTCATGTCTTCCGGGCAGCTAGTCAGAACCATGAGACTGGGTTCTGGCCAATACACTGTGGCAGAGGTGATGTATACCACCTCTAGACCTGGAATATTAGAAAGTCTTATACAGTCCATCTATCATCCCTTGACAGCTGGCTAGATTCAGAAGGTAAAGTGCAGGTTGACTTCGCCCAAGAACATTCATAGAAAAAAAAAATCTCGAGTCCTTGTATAATTCCATGAGCAGAGCCCGTGCCCCACTTATCCATTGAGATGGGCCATTAGTCATTTCTTTGCATGAAACCAATGAAAATGTTGAGTTGTCTCAATTTGGAGGTTGTTTATAAGTGCAATAGCCTACCCTATGCCGTTTCTCTATTGAAAATTAAAGGAATTCATTGTGTAAGAAAGAAACGGAGGGAGAGACAGAGAAAGAGACAGAGATGGAAGTTCTAAGGAGAATCTATTTTTTTTCTCATTGTAGTGAATGTATTTTTCCCATTGTAGAGAATCTATTTTCTTCCCATAATTTATTTGGGCCCATCTTTTGCAATAGAAATAACAATTGTATGTAAAATATCACCACTGTAGAAAGACTATTGATTATAAGGAAGAAGAGAAAACTAGGGAAACAAAGAAAATAGACATATTTTATAATTTATTAAGTTAAAAACACCAATTCTCCCAAGCAGCTGGGACTACAGGCTACCGCCACCACGCCCAGCTAATTTTGTGTGTCTGTGTGTGTTTTTAGTAGGGACGGGGTTTCACCATGTTTGCCAGGATAGTCTCGATCTCCTGAGGCAGGAGAATGGCATGAACCCGGAAGGCGGAGCTTGCAGTGAGCCCAGATGGCACCACTGCACTCCAGCTTGGGCGACAGAGCAAGACTCCGTCTCAAAAAAAAAAAAAAAAAAAAAAAAAAAGCAAACACCAATTCTTTGAAAGAAAAAGAGACTTTCTGTAATAAAGATTTGATATTTGTGTTCAAGCAAAAAGTACACACACACACACACACGTCGGGACTTTAAAAAGTTAACAAAAATTGACCTAAAAGATAATATAAATATAAACTTTCTCAACATAAGCTTTGTAAAGTTCAAGATTTTTTTTAAACAGTGATACCAGCCATTTAGTGCATCCCTAAAGAACTAAGTATGATTCTAGGAATTAAATCATGTCAATGTCATCTTTTTTACATAATTAACTGAAAAAATATGTTTCTTTTACAGATTTTTAAATTTTAATTTTTAATTTTTGTGGATGTATAGTAGGTGTGTATATTTATGGGTACATGAGATATTTTGATACAGGCATACAATGCATAATAATCCCATCAAGGTAAATAGGGTGTCCATCACCTCAAGAATTTATCCTTTGTGTTACGATACATTTTAATTACTTTCAAATACACAATTAAATTTTACATGTATACATACTATAGTCACCTTGTTGTGCTACCAAATACTAGGTGTAATTCATTCTTTCTATCTTTTCTGTACCCATTGACCATCCCCTGACTACCTCCTTCCTGTCTCTGTTCTTTACAGATTTTTAACAATTAGGAAACAAGAATACATTAGAAGGAGCCAAATCAAGACTATAAGGTAGATGCCTAATGATTTTCTACAGAAACTTGAAAAAGTGCCCTTGTCTTATGAGAGGAACAATCAGCATTCCCGTGGTGGAAAAAGACTCTGGTAAAGTTTTCCTGTTAAAGCTTTGGCTTTCTCAAAACACTTTCCTGATAATCAGATGATACCCTTCTTCAGCCAGCCATCCAGTAAGTCAGTAGCAAAATGCCTTGAGCATCCCAAAAACTTGTTGCCATGACCCTTGCTTTTGACTGGTTCACTTTTGCTTTGACTAGACCTAGTCCAACTCTTGTTAGTCATTGACTAGATAGTGCTTTTTCTTCAGGGTCACACTGATGAAGCCATGTTGCATCTTCTGACACAGTTATTTGAAGAAATCTTTTATGAGCTTCAGGATCTTTAAAATTCCCACTGATAGCTATGCTCTTGTCTACAGCTGATCTGAGTGCAATGAATTTGGCACTGCTCGGGTGGAAAGTTTGCTCAGCCCTAATGTTTCATTCAGAATTGTGTAAGCTCATCCTATTGAGATGTCTGTGGTGTTGGCTCTTGTTTCAGTTATTAATCATCAGTCTTCTTCAATTAGGGCAAAAACAAGATGAATTTTTTTCTTGCAAATTGATGAGGATGTTCTGCCACCATGGGGTTCATCTTCAACATCATCTAGATCCTTCTTAAAATGAATTATTTATTTGTAAACTGCCAAGTTCTTTGAGATCATTGTGCTCATAAATTTTTTGTAAGGAACTACTCTTCTATCTAAGCTTTATCATAAATTTAGTGTGTGTCCTTGCTTCAATTGCAGCAGAATTCATATTGCTCTGATAGGGGCTCTTCTCAAACTGATGTTTTATTCTTAGTGCCTCAAACTAGATCCTGTTCAGGCACATAATAACAATTTAGTATGAGTTTATTTTAGTCAAAAACTTTTGAAATCCATATATAATGTTTTGATAATATGTATTTTCCATGACCTTTTTGAAGACCCTTCATATATATGTGTGTAAAATCTCCATACTTTGAACACATATTATGATTTTCTCCTAGTGTGTTCAACTGGTGCAATAGTTTTAATAAACTCATATACCCTTGACATACAGACTTTTAATGTACCAATAAAAGTATTGTGTAGACAAAATAACCTTGTCAATTCTAGGGTAAAGAAATAGTATTTCACTTTTTGGCTCAGGTATGCCAAGCTTCCCTGATGAGTCCTGCATAGGAGATGTGTAAGATTTTTGAACAAATATTCTGGCCTTCAACAGAGAACACAATTAATTAGTGAAGATAGGGATGTTGGATTGAGTAAAGGGTAACATTTTGACTGTGTAGTTCTGAAGGCAAAATTTGTGTTTTTAGGGGGAAAGAAGTGAGCTATTCCAAGACATACATTCCATAGTTTTTTATTATTTTAGTATACATAGGTATGCAGTATTAATTTTTATAAAGCCTTTCTGACCTGGATGATGGGAATTTAATTAAATAATAATCATGGAGCAAAACTCCTATGGCATAATAGAATTTCCTCAAGATCCATAAGATTGTATAGAACAAAAAATTCTAAAAGGAATGGATTATTTTATTGATTTGTATTCCAATTTGTAATCCAGAGACTTTTATCATACCAAATATAAATAATTAATTTATTAAATACTAAATATAGATACTTTGCTAGGCAGTTACAAAAAGTAAATAGGAAAACATTGAGCACTTTTATAAACTATTGCACAGATTTGCCTGAGAATTTTGATATATCCAACTTTCTCAAAAGTGGTTCTAAACTTTTACCTCTAGAGAAATAAAATGGAATGAAGTTTATGTAGAGTTTACTTCTAGTACCATCTTATATTATGAATTTCTAACCACTAGTGTTTTTTAAAATGGAATTCAATTTCAGCAACATTACCTATTTACACTTTAAATCAAGTTAGTACCTTTGAATTCAGTTTCTCATACAGAATGGAAAAGTAGAAAATGTTCATGAAGCCTGCCTCTACCTTGCTTCAGGCAAAGGAGATCAGAATCAGAGTAGTCAGCAATACAACAAAAAAAAAAAGGAAAGAGAAGAAAAGAAAAGAAAAGAAAAGAAAGGAAAAGAAAAGAAAAGAAAGGAAAAGAAAAGAAAAGAAAAGAAAGGAAAAGAAAAGGAAAAGAAAGAAGAGTGTGTACTAAGAGTTCTACAGCCTTTGCCGTATGTTCTGCTACAGGTTGGCCAAATTGGATGGAATCTTTTTGTTTAATTGGAATCTTCCTACCTTCATTCATGGATGTCGTTTGAGAGTATAGCTAACAGTCCAACTTGGTGACACATTTGTGTTTGGTGAAATTAAGTACCAAGGACTGAGCTGACCAATGCCTGTGCCCACTCCACCCTACCCCTTTACTTGTTAGCCTTTTCAAAAATTAGGGCTTGCTGATGGTCCTGGTAGTTAATTATCTCACTTGGTTCATTAAGATCTAACTTTAATGGACTGTCATTAAATCCTGCAGACTCTTCCATGCTCATTTTAGGGCCTTTACACATACTAGTTTTTCTTCTACCTGAAGGGTTTTCTCACCCTCTTTTTATTATGGCTTGTTTCTACTCACACCTTGAGTAGCAACTGCACTATTAAGTTCACAGATGAAATCTCATTTGAATACAGTCTTGTCTCCCTATTTCCTCTTAATTTATTTTTTTTTACAGAGATCAATATAATTTGCAATTATTTCAATATTAATTTCTGTTCTTTGTCCTTTAAATATTAACATTATATTTTATTGAGGGCCCACTATGTGCCTGACATTGCTTTAAATCCTTTTTATAACTCAATGCATTCAATCATGCAAAAACCTTATAAAGCAATTATTGTCAATCTTATTTGCAAGTGAAGAGAGTAAAGTTTAGACAGATTGTGATATGCTCACAATTTAATAGTTACTAAGCAGCTAACTACAGAATTGAGTTGTATGTTAATTGTCTATATGTTATAGATGGTAGTATATACACAAACTTTATATTCTATGAAGAAGGGATAGAATCAGCTTTATTCTTTATTTTATTAATAGTTCCTACCATGCTATCCAGTATATACTTGGTACTTAATAATTAAATGAAAGAATCAGACATTTATGGTGCCAGGAATTTTCCAAGCAGTTGTGCTTTTTGCAAATTACTGAGCTATGCTATCAGATAAAGGATTTTTTTGTTACTCCATATTTTTGGCAGAAAATGTTTATTTTATTTATTTGGGTAATAGGGGGCCGATTCCTTGAAAATAAATTAATGCCCTCCCATTGTGGTGAGCTCTCACTTTAACAGAAATGAATAGTCTGAGACAGTGGGTTGTTAAAAAGATTCTGGCTTCCTGTTTTGTTTTGTTTTTTCCTCCCTTTTTTTTGCCATCTGATCTCTGCACATGCTGGCTCTCCTTCCACTCTCCGTCATGAGTTAAAACAGCCTGAGGCCCTCACCAGATACAAATGCTCTATCTTGAACCGTCCAGATGCCAGAATTGTGAGCCAAATAACTTAACCTCTTTTGTTTATAAACTACCCAGTCTCCAGCATTCTGTTATTGCAACACAAAACAGAAACAGTCCCTCAAGGCAGAGTACTGATTGATTCTGGGAAAATGTTATGATATAGTTGGGTTGGTTTAGTGGTACAATGAAACAAAGGTTTGAAAACTAGTTTTGGTGTTAGACATTAGACTGTTGGACTTGATAAGCAAGCCACTTTAGTTGGTTCACACGCAGTTCTGCATTCCAGAAGCAAATATTTTCTTGAGCAAGTAGAATTCTTGTTTGTTCTTTGTATTGTATAACACAATTATGGGAAAATATATACTGTACTTATATTAATAAGAAGTTTAATATAAGTATATAAAAATATGTGCAGTCTCATTATTATTTAGCACAGACATTTCAAATTACATTGGCTTTATTTCTCAACAGAAAATAGTGCTATTATATAAGACCTAAGTATGGACAGATGTTTGTTTGTTTTTTCCAGCAAAAATGCAGAGTCGCATATGAATATATCACTTTTTTACACAAATGTTTCTTATTTACCACTGTAAAAATTAGGCTATAGGTGTAACTTACTTTGCCTCACAAATTGTTGCAACTTCCCAGCCCATCTTACCAGGTGGTATATTGTTTCTAATTGGGGAGGATTGCATATTTTTAACTAATACTTTTTAAATTTCTAAAACCTTAAAAAAAAGAGACTATAAAGCAGTGGATCATTTACAGAGAGTTGTAATTCTGAAGACTGATAGTAAGGACAATCGATTTTCCCACTTCTGGTTTTATTGACTAGAAGAGTTACAAACATGAGGATAAAATGCCTCACAATATACTGAAAAAACAATGTGTTTTCATCTACTCTGAGTTTCTTTATAGAAGAATTTGGGGTTTAGTTTGTGTGTTGAAGAAAAAGGCCATCATGGAGTTTTCTATTTGCTGTTTTGACAGCAATATGTTTTTCTTTCTCTTCTGAGACATAAGTGAACTGTTAAGAAGAGTTGTTCCCTTCACTTATCTTGCAAAATTGTTTTCTGAAGCAACTAAACAGTGAAAAATCACCAGTTAATTAAGGATAAAAAAATTTCTATGAGTTTACTCTTCATGGAGAAAGTGACTATAATTTATGTTGTACCCATAAGAAAATTCAGATTATTACTTATTATCAATATGACATTCAACTGAGAGACAGTTTCTTTGAAAATAAACAAATGCTACTTTGGAAGAAATAAGTTTGTAAAACATCTTTGTTACATGAATCCACTGGAAAATATCAATATTGTAGTGTCTGCAGGAAGAGGTCTTGTGTGTAATGTGAAATTTTGAGAGAAGAGTTTTTCTACAAATAGAAAGTCATTTGGAGAAGTTATTCCACATTACTACAGGTGCAAGATAAAGCAAATGTAACCTGGCCTGCTATATAAGTTCTGTTCTGTTTTTCCTTTTTGTTTGCTTGTTTGTTTTTGAAAGAGTCTTGAAAATTAACCAATGAAAATAAATCCATTATAAGGGCTAATAATCTTCAGATTTGGAATACTTTGACATTCATTTTTAAGACTCCTGGTTATTTCTATAATTTACTTACTATAATGTACTTACCACTTTAAAATCAAGCCATCCTTATGTCTCTCACACTTTTTTGTCTAGCCCATTTATTGTTTATCTCTCTGGCTATGAAGCTCACAAATGCTAAGTAAAATCACCCTTTTCTTAGAGATAACATTGATGCTGTGATAGAAAACAATGATTTAAAGCACTCACAGCTTGTAAAACTATTATCTGGAGTTGTTTATCACTTACAAGCCCTGTTCCAGAGCTAACATAGTCACAGAGATACTTACTAGCATTACTTGGTGTCCAACCACATAATTCTGCCTGTTAATCTCTAAGAACTGCCAAACAGGCAAATCGAATTTGAATAAGAAAGTGCCAGGAAAATCTCGGTGCCAGGTCAAGTGGTAATACAATTTATAAAAAAGTTTATTTAACCCAAGCTATTGTATTTAAAATACCAACATTAGTACAATTCTTAGTTTCAAATCATGCTTGCCTTTTGGCTAGATGCTGGGACATTGAAAAAAATTAAAAAGATTAAAACATTACACACTAATTGGCAAGATCTTCTGAGAAACAAACAAGAGATTTATTATAGATATATTTGATACATTTTTAAGTTTTAGGACATATGGTATTGCTTTGGTTACCTTTAAAGGGTTATTGAACTTAATTGTTAACCTGTCTAGCATCTTTTCCTGAGAGTTAGTTATCATCAGTTTTTGTAATAAAAGACAGGGCAGTATGGCTTGCAAAGGGATTGGAATCCAATGTCCTGATTGGTTTTAATTCCTGGTTCTGCCCCTTCAAGCTCTGTGAGCTGGGACAATTCAGCTGAACTCTCTGGTCCTCAATTCCTGCATCTTTAAAATGCAAGTAATATAAATCACAGAATTGTTAAAATAACTTAGTGAAACTACAGAGTACTCATTGTTAAAATGATGGATTATAGAGTAGAAGACTGTGAAGTGTCATGTATTTGTAAGTTATTACTAGAAGTAATAGCAGTAGTATTAAAGTAAAGCTGGTAAAATTACAAGGAATACGAATGTGGAAAAAATGAGCTGTGTTACATGTGACTGTAGGATTAACTTCCTCGTTTGTTATTTTCAATTGTTTTCATACAAAGAAATGACAAAAAACTTAAACAACTCTAAACATATTGTTAGAATATAACATCAGTAGGAGAGATCTAGAAGCATATGTAGAAGCATATTTGTCATGAAAATATTTAAAGGTATGCATGGTATTTCCTGATAAACTATAATTTGAGATATAAGTATGTGCCAGTGTCGAAGAGATTGTTTGCTGGACAAAAGATCACACTCTAGAAGCAAAGTAGTTATGGTGCCTCCAGCAATTACAACCAACAGTCAAGGGAATAAAACTTGTAACAATTTTATTTTATTTAATCAACAGGAGGTACATAATTAATAGTCTTGGTGGGACAAAAGAAAGAATTCATAAATAAAAACATGAATATATTATTATTAACATCTATGGAAAGGTCTTCTGACTAAAGACAATATAGTTAAATGAACAATTTTTAAACTGTTTTAGATAAACTTCATATAAGGTGATGAAGAAGAAGAAAAAATCAAAGGAGAAGGAGAAACATTCATTTATTGATTGCTCATTTACCAGGTACTGTTCTAAGAACTTTACAAAAATTATAATAATTAATCCTTTAAAAGTCATATCAACAAAGAAATGTTGGCCTCATTTTAAGTATAAAAACAGGTGAATTAAAAAAGCTTAAATAATTTACTAAATGTCAGCCAGTTATAAAATGATAGAATAGGGATTTGAATACAAGCAGCCTGACTCCATTTTATTGTTAAACTATAAGTTTTCAAAAGTTTAAAAGCCATGACTCCAATGTGTATATAATATGAACCCACTTCAAAGTTTCTGGTCAATTCATTAATTAGCAAGGGAACCAACAGGATTTTATGACCTGTTTAAAGAGCATATTGTGAAGTCACATACACTATGCACATACACACACACCCATGCATACACAGTATTAGGGTAGATTACTGGTTTCAGTATAAAACTGGTTAATGGCCAATGAAGCCATCAATTTTAAGGGCATTTGTTCAACTGGACTGAAGTTATTTGTATCTTTTTAAACAAAATCAAATTAACACATAATTTATGTGTTAATATATAATTAATTAATAATAGTTGAACTAAGATCATTGCCCAAGATAGCTCTTGGGTGGATTTCTTTCTCCTATATGATATTCCCCCCAGTGTTATCATTCTGTCGTATTTCAAGGATTCAGATTATTTTGCTGATATAATGTTGTGGCTTTTTCACTCCTGTAGTTTGGCGAGCAGAAGAGAGGGCTACAGCTCCCACCACCCACCGCTCAGAGAGCAGGAGCATTACAGCTCTTTCACTCCTACAGTTCGGTGAGTTCCAGGTTTTTGTCCTGTGGCCAAGAGGAATAAGGTACAAGACCACTGGAGAGTGAGTAAGGCAGAGCAGAATTTTACCGAACAACAGAAAGAAAACTCTTGGCAACTAGAGGGGACCCAAAAGTGGGTCAGTGTCTTTGAGACTGAATCCAGGATTTTTATGGGGGAGTGTATGCTGATTGGTCCATAGTCGGTCTTGGAAAAAGCACCATTCAATTTGTTAAAAGGCATAATTCAGAAGGAACTAATACAGTGAGAGTGGGTAAGACAGGGATAGAAGTTCTCACTCCGGTTGTGGACTCTATCTGAAATGGACAGCTCATTTTTCAGGCTTTACACTGTCTTGGCTTGAAGGTCGGGTTTTACCAGGGACCTATCCCTGTCTCCCTAAGAATTTGTCTGTCTCCTGTCACTACCAATAATATAGTAGTACAATGTTTGCACTATATCTCATTTTAGAACCATATTAACTTGGTTAGGAATTTAATGCCTATATTATAACTTTTTTACAGATAATGAAGCCAATTGTCAGAGAGATTAAATAACTTTAATGCATATGTTTTAGACTGGATGCAAACTCAATTTTTTTAATATGACGTTCATATTATTTTCAATCTCTTTGGTTGCTTTCCATATAGCACCTTACATAATTCTAAACATTTTTATTATAATAATTTATGTTATTCATCATATAAAGTTGTTTGCTTTGTATATTATGGAAATAGTATATTATATTCAAATATATATTACATTTGTATATATTAGTATATTATTTTCAATTAGTATATTATATTCAAATATATATATTTGAAGTATTCTCCTAGATACAAGGAAAATTAAAGTCAAAGCAACCTAGCTCCTAACTATGAAAATTTCAATAGGTTGTATTGGTTATTCCATAAAATACTTTTCTTTGAGAAAAAGAGAATAGAAATACAATAAATTATCTAAATAATTATTTCTATTTAACCAATATTTCTAAATATGGGTTAGTGAAAAACCTTGTGCAGATACTCCTAAGAATACAAAAATCAAGAGAATACAATCTTTGCCCTTATGGAATTTCCAGTCTACTGACTTATATTTTTAATATTTTTTCTGAAGTGTTTCCACAAACCCTATTGTTGTCATTCAGGTCTTATTCATCTCTTGCTTGGACATTAATAAGGTCTAAATTGTTTTTTTTTTGTCTTAGCCTCATTCTCTGCAATATAATGGTGTCTGCATCACCACCGTGCTCTAAAATAAAACTACCATGCATATAAAATGGGTTGTATTAATGGTGAGTATAAAGTCATAGGGAAAAAGATAAGTATAGAAGACTTAACATACTAGTGAAGTTAGGGAAAGAGGCATATATGGTGGGAACTTTGAAAACAGGTTTGAAGGCAGAAGAGAAGTTTGTCAAGCAGAAAATTCAGGAAAAAGCATTTCTGATATGGGGCTGAGGGATAAAGGCAGATGAACTCGGTAGCCATCAAGTCGTGCCATTCAGAGTTCCTTCACAAAAGGACTTGCCACGTAAAGAACCTTTAGCTAATAATTTCCATTTGCAGGGACTTTGGTCTCTGCCTCAGTGTTTAAGTTGATGACGTGCCTTCCAACATGGCATAAGCCAATGATTTAGCGTAGGAAGAGCAGTAGGAAGTAGTTTTTTTTGCTCAGTGTGATTCCCCTTTGAGCAATCTTTACAATGGAGTTTCCCACTGAGCTGGCTGATACTTTCTCAGAGCTGCACCATGGTTTGGAGCACTTTCTACCCATTCTTTTTTTTATCCCCTCCCATTACACAAGTACCACCCTGAGACCATGATCTGAAGATTGTCCTTTCCTTCTCCTGCTTTCTCTCCTTTATCATTCATAGGTACTAACCCCAACAAATCTCTTGGTCTTCTGATGGTTGTGTCTTATATTTTCTGAAGAACGTAAACTTACATACTGTATTTAGGTAGAGAACTGATTTTAAAAAATCACATATTATGTTAAGTACTTCCCTCTAATTGGAGAACCCATGCACTTAACTAACCAAACAATTTCAGCACAGTGAGTTTAATGCAAATATAAATAGTACTGAGAATTTACTTGGACACAATGTTTGTTTCGACAAGTTTTGGTCTGTTTAATTTTTCTGAAATAGGACATTTGTTAAGCAAGGGGGATGCACAGATGAGGATGACACCTATTGTGAATGAGTGCATAGTCTAATGATCCAGGGAATGGGAGATTTGAAAGACATTATTTAGACTTTGTAAGTGTCTACTGCCATTGAGAAGTCTCTTGTGGATGAAAATTGTAGCCCTCAAATTCATGTCATTTAGAAAAGGAAAGTTTGTCGTTTGAACCGAGGCACCATCTCATCAGGAGTCAATAACATCTTCAAAGTAAGAGGATATTATGATTAATAGCTGATTTGTTTGCTCATCATCAAGGACAAGAATATCCTATCAGTAAAAGTCAATAGGTTGAAAATTCAGGAGGTTAGGCTGTGGGAAATAAGAGGTTAAAATAGTGGACAAACACAATCCTATTAAATAATTCTTGCTTTTAGCACTGGAAGCAATTCAATTGTTTAAAAATTATATTAAGTCATCAAGACGCTACTTAATTAAACTTTAATATTAAGCATTAAGATTTAAGCAAAAAATATGATTAATCAATTAGTTCATCATTACAGCTTAGAGTGAGCTTTTTGGTGTAACAAAGGCTTCTGATGAATACATTAACATTGGATGAATTTATAAATACAACTATTTAGATTTTTAGAATATTAATGTTATGCCTATAATAGAAAACAAAAATAATTACTAGAGAACATCTTTGAGAAACAGTTGCAATGGTGTATGCATTTCTAATAAATTACTTACAGTCTATTATGGAACTATATGCCTTTGAAGACTATTAAATCAGCAGGCTGCTATGTAATGAAATTATTTGAGGCAAATTTTGACAACTGCCCTTAAATGTTCCTCTTCCTTCCAAGATGCATCATATTTATGGATTAAAAAAGAAGTTGACTCATAAGAAAACCCTTTTTCTTTTATGTGTAAAACGATTACAATAAAACATATATAATATGAATGTAATTATATTGCCATCTGAAGCCTCTGTTCTTTCTGCACATGATAAAATAATCCATTTGATAACAATAAAAGCCAATTATGTGGGATATAGATTTCAGTAAATCTATTAGAGATTTGTGTGTTTATTCTTGCAAATCCAGAAAACCGTTATATATAAATTGAATTACTCTATCTAGCTTATGGACCCCAAACCTCATATGGCCCAGATTTTAATCACCCAAGAGTATCTTAAAGCTATTTTAGGGCAGGAAATGGAGAATTACAAATGTGTAGTATCATATTTCTATAATGTTATTTTCCTCAAAGTATTTTGCTTAATGTTTAAACAGACATAGATTCAAAGCCAAACTGTGCATATCTAACAGTCAAGATCTCTTTATATTCCATATACATCACAATAATTGTTAAATAGTGCCTCCTCCTTTTGTCTATACTCTCCTAAGAAACTGATTTCTATGAAGATAGCTGCTGCAGCAACCACATAAAAGGCAGAGAAGAGGAATGCTGTCTTTAGGATATTTAAAAGTATATGTAAAGAGATGTAGTATATTCATTCTGGTAATAAAAACAGAAATGTTATTGCGTCTCTAAATACCTAAGATAGTAGAGTTGATGCATATACAAAGAGGATATATGATCAGTAATTGAATTTGGCATTGACAGACTTACTTTTAATCTTTTTATAAAAATACTTAGAGAGTTTTCAGTAGTGAAGTAATACACATAAGCTTGTAGTTTAAAACATAAAATATTTTTAATATTTATTTTGGGTTCAGGGGTACAAGTGCAGGCTTGTTACATAGGTAAACTTGTGTCACGGGGTTTTCTTGTACAAATTATTTCATCACCCAAGCTTTAAGCCTAGTACACAATAGTTATTTTTCCTAGTCCTCTCCTTCCTCCCACTCTCCACCCTCTGAAAGGCCCTACGGTGTTGTTCCCCTTGATGTGTCCATGTGTTCTCATTATAAAAAAATCTTATTTAACCCCCAACTGTGAAAGACTGTGCTCCTTATGTTTATCATTTATATATTTGATGTGTGTCTTTTCAGATTTTTTTCCTCTTTCTGTCTCTGTCTCTCTTTCTCCCTTACCAGTTTGTAGAATTTACTTCTGATTTTCCTTTTGTTTTCTAACTTAAATGCTATCAGAAGGTATGTTTGTTTAATTTGATTATTTCTACTTAATTCATTTTGGAAATCATTTCATGTCACTTTGCATAGATTTACCCCATTCTTTGACATCTGTACCTGGTATTCTATGCTATAGAGATACAGTTTGTTTTACCTTTCCTTAATGATAACCCTTTAGATTGCTTCTATTTCTTCTCTATTACACAGAATGCTTAAATCAATGTCCTTCTATATGCTTGAGGATACACTGAGTTTTTTCATAGAAATAGGTTTTATATTATGCAATTAAAAACAATATCAATTTGCAACTATCTTCATCATTCACATAAATACTCATAAGCTAAAACCGTTTTAACTTCCTTGTTCTTTACTCATTCAATTTTTATACATCATTCACTTCATCACATGTTACAAATTTTTATCATTTTATTCTTTTTATATTTCATAAGCTGCCTAAAATAGTGCCAAAAATAGAATAAGTGTGATGTTGTAGAGAAAAAAATGTTTGAATCAAGTAAACGTATGGAATCCAGACTTGATGCAATCAAATCATCCTTTCGAAATTTGGGTTTTGTTATTTCAGTTAAAAGCATTTCTTACATATATGCAGCCCTTTTGTGGGATACTTTCATTTTTTGTATCTAAAAGTCCCAGATAAATGACACTATGACCCAGTTTGAGTCAGTTATTCATCTCTAAACCGAGAACTGAATGTAAGAGTTAGGCTCTAATGCAACCAATTAGCTTCTACTATAGCCAGTGGATAAAGATGGAAAGTAGGAGATAAAAATAAGGAGTAGAGTCATGGGCAAATAAGATCACAGACTTCCAAAATATGCTCCAGATTAAAAGATATAATAATGCTCTCTTTTAGAATGACTGTGAAAAGTAAGTGAAACAAAATTTGTAAGTAGCCCACCATTTATTAAATTATGAGAAGTTCAATATATTTTACAGCCTGTCCCCCTGCCAAGTGATTATTTCCTAGGTGCTAGGTATACATATCTTTCTTCCTTGCTTTCCAATACTACAATGTATATACTACATACATACCTTGTTCTGAAACTTTCTATTTTTCACTCAACAATATCTCTTCGAGATTTTTTTCATTATCTGTACTTAGACAGATGTCACGTGAATTACAATTGATGTTATAAACAATGCTGCAGTGAAAGAATCCTCAACATCATTAGCCCTTAAGGAAATACAAATCTAAACAATATATCACTTTAAACCCACTTGGATGGCAATTATCAAAAAGACAATTACTAATAAGCATTGGGGAGGATATAAAAAGTTGAAACCTTTGTACTTTGCCAATGGGAATGTAAAATAGTGCAGCCACTTTGGAAAACAGTTTGTCAGTTCCTCAAAAGATAAACTTAGAATTACCATATGATCCAGCAATTATACTTTTATACATATCCCCTTTCTAATATTTTAGTCAATAGACATTCTAGCAAATGTAAAACATTAACATACATAAACACACACATGTATTTTCAAGGGAACTGAAAACATATTCACATTACAAAAAATACATTAAAAATGTTATAGCAACATTATAGATAATAGTTCCAAAATGGAAAGAGAACATGTGTCTAACAACTAACAAATGGGTAAACAAAATAAGGTATATCCATACAATAGAATACCATTTAGCCATGAAAGGAATGTGTATTAGTCTGTTCTCACATTGCTATAAAGAAATACTTGAGACTGGGTAATTTATAAAGAAAAGGGGTTTAATGTACTCATACTTCCACAGGCTGTACAGGGAGCATGGCAGCATCTCCTTCTGGAGAGGCCTCAGGAAACTTACAATCATAATGGAAGGCAAAGGGGGAGCCATCCCTTTACATGGCCAGAGCAGGCGAAGAGAGAGGGGGTGAAGGTGCTACACACTTTTAAACAACCAGATCTTGTGAGCACTCACTATCATGCATTATCATGAGAGCAGCACTGAAAGGACGGTGGTAAACCATTCATGAAGGACAACCCATATAATCAAATCACCTCCCACCAGGCTCCACCTCCAGCATTGGAGGTTACATTTCAACATGATATTTGGGTAGGGACACATATCCAGACCATATCAGAATGAATAACTTATCCATGTTACAACATGCCTGAGCTTTGAAAACATGCTAAGTGAAAGAAGCCAGGCCAGGCGTGGTGGCTCATGCCTGTAATCCCAGCATTTTGGGAGGCCAAGGCTGGTGGATCACCTGAGATCAGGAGTTCAAGACCAGCCTGATCAATATAGTGAAACCCCATCTCTACTAAAAATACAAAACTTAGCTGGGCATGGTGGCATGCAACCGTAGTCCCAGCTACTTGGGAGGCTGAGACAGGAGAATTGCTTGAACCCGGGAGGCAGATGTTGCAGTGAGACGAGATTGAGACACTGCACTCCAGCCTGGGTGACAGAGTGAGACTCCGTCTCAAAAAACAAACAACAACAACAACAACAAAAAGCCAAACTCTATAGAGATATATTGTATAAATCTATTAATATGAAATGTCCTAGATTGATGGAACCTGATAGCAGTTGAAAATATGAACCAGATAGAGATTTACAACCTTGTGAATATATGAAAAAGCACTGAGTTGTACACTTTAAAAGGTAAATTGTATGGCACGTAAATGATATCTCAATCTAAAACAAGAACTTAACATTTTAGTTTTGGGCATGTTGAGTTTCAGACTGTTATTTGCTATCCAAATATAAATGTCGAGAAATCAGCTTCTTTGATCCATTAGTACCTATAGTTCATTTCCATTACAATGAAATAATTTTAATTGATTCTTATTCTGATTACTCTTTGGATACAGTGGTTTTGGAAATTCGTATCATGATATGTTTTTAGTTCACTTTCCCTAACAAACGTTATGACTGATTTTACCACTATTACCTATACTACATAATTTACAACCACCAGTACCACATATACGATTAATAATTGCAAGAAATAGCTGACACAACTATTTACTAGGAGCTTTCTATACATTAGCAAGAATATCTAAAATCACTACAAGTTAGGTATCATCATGTTTTACAAATGTAGAAATAAGATTCAGAAAGTTTAAATAAGATTCTCAAGGTTATACAGTTTGGAATTGGCAGGATTACATAATGCCACATTTAGTGTCATGGAATCTTTTACTCTTTTAATAGGTTAATGCAGTGGTTATCATTCCAGGCAGCACATTAGAATCACTTTTCAAAAGAGTAATAATTAGAGACCTCACCAAACCAATTAAGTCAGAATTTCCAAGGCTGGGTTCCAAGCGGTAGTAATCTAATTTCCCTAGGACAGTGTAATGTACTGAAAAATAGTAGTTTGGAAACTCAAGATATGACAAGTTATATAGTCTTTTGAATCTTTCAGAACACATATTTTAAGACACCATTGGTTTATATGTAAGAAATTATATTACAACATTTGCAACCTAACCAACATGAAAACATTAATTAGTGATTGAAAGTTCCTCAAGAGATATTTGTCTATTCTTATGGACCTTTATGTTAAGAGGAAGCTTTCCTAGCAATTAAAATAATAACTTGCCTATGACTATACAATTGATTTCTTAATACAGGTCAGAATAGTGTTAATCCTTCAATCAATTTTTGGTACACTTATTACAATATTCAAAGTAAGTCTCTCACAAATCGTACATTAACTCACTCATTGTGTTCATTAGGAAAAGTAAGAAAGATACATGTCATTTATTTTTAACTTTTTGTTAATGGTTGCATTCATGTTCACATATTGTAAATTTCAAGAAACTATGTAGGAATTAAAAGGAGAGTTTGATAAGCTATAAAGTTTTGATTGAAATAGATGTCTTAATTTGTTCAAATGTAAAAGATAAAAGTTGACTTATATGATAACCACTAATCTGTATCATCATGTACTGCAAAGTGGATTTCAAACACATGGGCTACAATTAGGTATCTTAAATCTCCATGAAGGTAGGAGCAAGCTGTTTTCATACCATGTCTGGATAAAAGAAGTCATGTAGTAAATATTGAATAAATCTATGATGACGTACATGTGTATATCTATACACCTGTCTCTATTTTCAATTAAATTATAAATTCCTTGAGAGTGTAGAATTTTCTTTTAATCTTTTTATATCTGCTGCTACTCTTAGCATCGATCTGGGCATGTCATAAGTTGCTTAATAAATTTCCAGTTTTCTTTCTCAATATATCCTAAAATATTAGTTGATATATTACTTTTTTCATTATTCAACTGTACATAATTGGTGAAATCAGAGATATTCTTTGATAGCATAGTATATCTTTAGTATATCAGAGATATACTAAAAAGTATAGCATTTTTAGAAATAAAATTATTCTTTTTTCTCTCATTTTCTTTCTAAATAAAAATAAATTATTTGGAAAATATCTTTCAAATTCAGGAATATATATTTTAGTATATTTTGCCATAGAGTGAGAGAGTAAAATTTTTATTTTTGGAAGATCTCCTTCTCCCCCCACCCCACCATGCAATGGTAAAACCATTTACTGATGAAGAAACTTGCTATTCAAACTGTGATCTGCACATTAATGTTGTCAGTATTACCTGCAAGTTTATTATAGATGCAAAATCTCAGATCCCACCGCAGGCACATTGAGCCAGAACATTCATTTCATTGCAATCCCCAGGTGATCCTTTTGCAAATTTAAGACTGAGAAGCACTAATGTATGCTAGTTTCCAATTTCTTTTTCCCTTGCTTTTTTGTGCGTTAGAAATATGTTTTTGAAATGTGGATATCCTTCTAGAGTGTTTTCTGCCTAAGGCATACTCCTAAGAATTTTTTTTCAATATTAAAACATGTGTTTAAGACTGAGCTACCACAACACCCAGAAAATTAACTTTTTGTGATTAAGAGTTATCTATGTAGACTGACAGACTGAGCAACCATATTGCTAATAATATTACTAACCATGGTTTCTATGATGTGGAACTCCATGTCATTTTCCAGGAAATTTTAAATGCCCTTCACTTTTCTGCTTATCTGATGGTTAAGAAAAGGGTCACCTGTACTCTGTTCAGTTATCTCTAATGTTTAGCCTTCTCAGTGTTCTTTTTCTTATCCTTTTATTCTTTTTTTAAAACACACTAGGTCCTTTCATTCAGATCCTTGAGGTCAAAGGTGCTACAACAAAGAAAGATAATCAGTTGACCTGATATTCTCATCATCAATATATCAAAATAAATTTAATTATCAGTCAGTTTAACGTTTTCCTCCCTCTATATTTTTATGAACAATAGTTTTCACATTTTTTATAGATCAATGTATTGAATGATTTTTGGACTAGAAGATAAGAAACACAGATTCAAATGTTAATCCTTACAATCACTGTACTAGGCAAAAAACTGGATGTTCCTGGGCTAAGATCCCTCTTTCTTAGAAATGACAGTTTTAGCATAGCTTGTCTCTGCAACTTCTGGCTCCATGATTCCATGGCACCCTATCTTCATGAACCTGCTGATAAATCTAATTTAAATCTTCTTCATGATGGTACTTAATCAGAAGAAAAAAAATGAATCTCATTTTACACAGAAAACAGTAATGAAGAAATAGGCAAATAATAAGAACACTCAAAATTTTGATCCCATTTTTTTTAAAAAAATCGATCCATATCAGTAAACATTTGCAGGTGAAAAGTAACTAGTGCTCAAATACCATCTTTTCATGAATTAATCATGGCTGCCTTTGCACAGTAGTAGACTGTTCAGTGCTTAGTTAAGGCCCCAGCTAGTTCTCGCTCACAGACTCTATTCTTGAGAGTACAACTGATTATTTGAATTGAAATTACCAATCCCAAGGTGCCTAAATGAGCAAGAAGTTATGAATATTATAGGGAGATTTTCTTGTCTTCCAAGTCTGCTCTGAATTTAGAACTTTATTGCAGGTTCAGAGAGCACTGAGACAATGCCATGTTCAGCCCACTGGGAAGGAGGAAAATGAATAAGAAGCAAGTGAAGATTCCAAAGGGAGCAATAAACAAACCTGTCCCACTATATTCAATTTGAAGAATAGTATTTAATATCTCCAGAGTGTTTCACTGACTTTTGTATCTCAGTTCATTATTGCCCCCAATTTTAGAATTGAATACCTACTGTGAGTTATGGACTGTGTTTGGCTCTCAGGATGCCCATATAAAAGATATCATCCTAGGTCCTGATTTTCTCTCTAATATCTCTACATATGACCACTTTGAGTCATACATTTTCTAAAACACGTATTACTCTGAACTTACTGATTTTCATCAATTCTCACTGGCAACAATGGAAATTCACACATAGAATGCCCTTTATAATATCGATCCAGTTTACTTTACTTGTCTCAACTCTTGTCTTTACACACTTCATACCAGGAGTTCTGTTGAAACCTCTGAGTCTCATTCCAAGTATGACTTCTTTGAATGAATGATGCTATCTTCAATTTCATTGCCTTAACATATTATTCCATCTTCTTATAGTGTTGTTCCTGTCGTTTATAAACTTATCTCCTACTAGATTATCAAATACCAAGTGAGATATCAACTCTTTTAGGAGCCCTATACTAAGGCCTGAGATTGGTGGTCCATCTTAATATTCTCATAGTAGACAGTTATTACATCTACTTTAAAAATGTAATGTCTATTAAACCCTTTAGATCACAAAGTTCCTTCAATCAACTAGCCCAGCATCTAGCCAGTACATGCTAAAATGAATTTTCTTTAAAGAATAAATTATCAAATATGTAGCCCTAAAGGGTAGGTTGTCATATCATTCTCTTCATTTTATAGATGAAGAAACATTAAAGATCTTTTCCCCAAACCCAAGATTGGTAGGTGAAGCATGTAAGGTTTTCTGACTAAATCGTATGTTCTTTTCCACTGGCGCATCTCTTCATTTCATGCTGAATGGGAGACATTAGAGATGAGGAGAAATATCGGGACAACAAAAGTCCCACTGAGAAAAAGAGAGATAAATTATGTAAGTCATGATGGTCTATCAACACACAGCATATTCTCAGGAGAAATGCAAAACAGGCGTTCTAGCAAGTAGGACACCTACATTCATGAAAGACAAACCATAGTTTCAGAAGGCTAAGAGTGGCAGTACCTATTTAGATCAACTTCTATCAGTTTATTTCATTTTTTTTGTTGCTAAAAATATAAGATTTATCCTGGGCACTACTCTATCATTTCCACAAAGTCCTGTAAAATTCTTCCTCTTTTTTTAAAAAAAATTAAAAATTAAAGCAGTTTTAGGCACAGGTCACTTTGCCAAGGGATGTTTGCTATCTATGTGTCTTTTTCCCTTTCAAATAAATTTTATTTGAGTGGATTTCTTCTCTATTTACAGTAATTCTCAATACATTTTGACTAAGATACTTTAAAGACTCTTAACATATGAGAATGTAGGTAATATATCTTTGGCATATTGCTTACCATCAAATGTTTTTCCAGGTTTTCATTATGAAATTTTTCAACACACAGAAAAGTTAAAGGAATGAACCATATAGACCCAACATTTGCAAATGTTTTTCATGTGTCTCATGAAATTTACACCAAAATATTCCCGCATCTTTTCCTAAAAACAATGACATTCTCTTATGTTACTTGCATTTTCATTACATCTAAGAAGTATAACAGTAACTACCTAATGTCATCTAACTTCCAGTTCCTTTTCAAATTTCCTGAGTTGCATGCAATAAATATTTTACAATTACCTTTTTAAACACTTAGATCACATACAGTTTATTAATTGCATTTGTTTTACATATCTCTTTAGTCTATTTTAATCTAGAACAATTCTACTTCCTTTTACTTATTTATTTTTTGCAGGTGCGTTTTGTAAACACACCAATCAGCACTCTGTGTCTAGCTAAAGGTTTGTAAACGCACCAATCAGCACTCTGTAAACACGGACCAATCAGCACTCTGTAAAATGGACCAATCAGCAGGACATGGGTGGGGCCAAATAAGGGAATAAAAGCTGGCCACTAGAGCCAGCAGCGGCAACCTGCACACGTTCCTTTCCATGCTGTGGAAGCTTTGTTCTTTTGCTGTTCATAATAAATCTTGCTGTTGCTCACTTTTTGGGTCTGCACTACCTTTATGAGCTGTAACACTCACCGCGAGGGTCTGCAGCTTCACTCCTGAAGTCAGTAAGACCACGAACCCACCGAGAGGAACAAACAACTCCAGATGTGCCACCTTTAAGAGCTGTAACACTCACTGCGAAGGTCTGCGTGTTCACTCCTGAAGTCAGCAAGATCATGAACCCACTGGAAGGATGAAACTGCAGACACATCTGAATATCTGAAGGAATAAACTCCAGACACACCATCTTTAAGAACTGTAACACTCACCGCGAGGGTCCGCGGCTTCGTTATTGAAGTCAGTGAGACCAAGAATCGACCAGAAGGAACCAATTCCTGACACACTACCAACCAGCCATTTTTATTATGTGTATTGCTGTAAAGTCTTTGTTAACATATTTTAATCCAAATCATACATTTTATATTACTTTAAAAATATGCAGCATTGGTGTGTGATGTTCCCCTTCCTGTGTCCAAGTGTTCTCATTGTTCAATTCCCACCTATGAGTGAGAACATGTGGTGTTTGGTTTTTTGTCCTTGCAATAGTTTGCTGAGAATGATGGTTTCTAGCTTTGTGGGGTGGGGGGAGCGGGGAGGGAGGAGGGATAGCATTAGGAGATATACCCAATGTAAATGATGAGTTAATGGGTGCAGCACACCAACATGGCACATGTATACAAATTTAACAAACCTGCACGTTGTGCACATATACCCTAGAACTTAAAGTATAATAAAAAAATATATATATATAAAAGAAAAGAGGATTTTGAAAATGAGGAAATGATCCACAGTAAAAATAAATGCTGAAAAATCAAATAATATGAGATTTGAAGATGTCAGTTGTATTCTGAAGCTCTTAGAAGTGCTTTGGTGTGATAATGAGGGTGATGAGAAAAACGGGAATGTTGAAATTTGGCCAGCATTTGGGAAAGTTTGTGGAAAAGTGGATGGAGAGACTCTAGCTTAGAGAGAAGAGAGGTCAATGAGATTTTCTGTTTTTTGCTTGTTTAAAAATAGAAAATATGTAAATAAAGAGATCCAGTTAAAAAGTGAAAAAAAAAAAGATGTCCTAAAAGGCTGATGTAACTTTATTATCAGTACATGACTTTTAAAACTATTATAGCTATTAAAATAAACAATGAGAACATCTTCTAAAAAATATGCAGCATTGAGTCTTTTAACAGTCTGGGTCAGTTATCTTGCAGAATGTTTCCAACTTTGTTTTGTCAAATTCCTCTCTTACAGTGTCATTTCCTTGTTCTTCTCTATGTTTTTTATAAACTAAAACTTGGAACTAAAGACTGGATTCAATGCAAGTTGAAATATTTTAGTAAGTACACTTGACAGGTGAGAAAATGTACTTCACGTTGCAACACATCAGCAGCGCATTCTGCCAGTGGGTCCCACTAGCAGTGATGTTGAGTTTGGCTACTTTCTTAAGGTTGTGATCACTAGATCTCTTTGTTATAAAAAACAATTTCCCTTTGACTTTGGCAAATAATATTTGGGATAGGAGGCAATACTTTAACATAGGAGAATTATTTGGTTCCCTTCAAAACCAATTCACCTAATATGTTTTACCAATAGTTTCATCATCTATTGATTATTGATGTGGCAATCCATTATTACACTGAAGTTTACAAAGGATGATTTTTCTAATTCTATAATTTATTTGACATTTATTAGGCATTATTCTGTGAAAAAGTGTTTTCTCTCAACAATCTGGGGTGAATTATAGATTTTTGTTTAAAAGGCAAAAGAATGCTTAGATCTCTTTTAATTATTAATTTTAGACTAAAATACTAGCATGATAGTTACCTCCACCTCCGTATGTGACAAATCAGATTTTTAAAAATTTAGGATAGACTTAATAGTTTATATTTATATATACCTCTAAACATAGAGAAATAAAGAGAATATTGGGTTAATAATCTGAAAACATTGGATTCAAATTCTAGGTTACAGCTTACAAACCTTATGACCTGGAGCAGTCTACTTAAATTTTTTAGCCTTTTTGTTCATTTATCCATATATTTTCAATGACATCCATTAAATGCTTTCATGAGAGTATTTTTAATTGCTAGAATTCCATTTGGAGTCTCACAGACTGTATTAGGTTACAAAGCCTTCTAGGGGTTTGTCATTGTTGCTGCTATTGTTCTTTTAAAAGATTAATAAAACTTCCATGATTACTTAAGTAGAAATTGAGTCACAGTTATGTTTAAAATTAAGCAATGGGCTTTTGTTTCCTATTCCTTGAGAAATGTTAAATATTGATTAAATAATTTTCAAGAGAATTCTTGGTCAATGATGGGAGGAAATATTCTCTTTTTTTTCCCAAATCTAAATTAATTAATTGGTTCTTTTCTAATGTTGTGAGCCAAGGGGTCACATTGCCAAGAAATCAATCAAACTTGGTTTATAAAAGTCTAATTAAGATAATGTTAATTAGTAATTGCACTTTATTTCCACTGGCTTTTAGTGCCCTTTGGCCAAGATTTATTATTTTATTTTTTCAAATGTACAGACTTCTTTCATGGTAGACAGGGAGGATGAAGAAGTTCATTCTCAGGCAAACTCTGTGAATATACTTTGGTCACTTTTTCCTCCCATGGATGTGGTAAGCCAGTCTGCCTCTTTTATATGTAATAAGATTGATTGACCTTTTACCAAATCACAAACATGAAAAGTCACAAACTTAAGTTTTATGTAAAATTGTTAAAAACATCTCATCCCATAGTTTTATGCCCTTGTGGCAACAAATAAATGATGTCTTTGGAATGCAGTGGTCCAAACCATGATGTATCATGAACTCCTAGGGACACATGATCAAACCAATTTTTTCCCACTTACATGAAGGATTGCTATTTTTAAAAAATAATCAAAAACTTTCACCATTCCAGTTTTCTGAGCCAGTATTTTCCAAACATATTAGATTCAAAATAACATCATGTTTGGATTCCACAACTTTTTTAAACAAAATTATATAAATGAGAGAGTTTAAGGCACAGATATTTCCATTTATAATTAGCAGCTGTGACCTGATTGATCAATTAAGGTCTAAGCCTGGCTGGAATGTAAGTTGGACTAAGATGGAGATGCAAGTGGGTATATACAGCTCTAGTGAATCTGAAAATCCATGAGGCTGAAGTTCAAATGATATATCAGTGTATCTACTAACAGCAATCTTTGCCTAGTGTGTTGATTTTACTTAAGAAATATCAGTGTTTAAGACCCCTTAACACCTGAGAATACCTTTTTCTCTTAGGTAAGACTGAAACTATCAAGCCTATAATTTAGATTTAGGCTTTTTAAGCTGGGAAATGACAAGTACTAGTATAGCCTAGGGATTTGAAGCATTGGCTCTGGAAAAAGACTACTAGTTCTATCATTTATTTATTGTGTGCACTTGGGGAAAATCCCTTAAGCTCTCTGTACGTTAGTTTCCTCATCTATACCATGGAAGTGATGGCAGTACTTTCTTAAGAGCTCATTATGAAGATTAAATGAGGTCATGTGGTTCAGGTAATTAGCATATGGGGCATAGTCAATAAATGCTGGCTATCTTATTATCTTTAATAATAAGTAAATAATAAAGACCTTGCTCTAAGGTCTAACAAAAGTAAAACCTACAGTCTGTTACATCTGGGAGCAGTCCCAAGATCAGAAGTTATCATTTCACTATGACATTTACTACACTGTTTTCTATAAATAATGCTATACACGCCAGGTGAGTTTGTCATTTTAGGGAGAAAAAAGATGAAGTTATTGGCCAAATGTGCAGACAATTTATCATCTTTCCAGAAATAAGTGAGCATGTCCAAGGTCATTGATTTCTGTAAATCTCTTCGGCTTGTCAAAACAAAGTTATTCTCTTGGTATTTCTATCCATAGAAGAATTGGGAGAAAATTACCAAGAAGTAAGTGAAAGAAAGTGGAAAGTGATAGCATTCTATATCCCCAAACCATTATTTTTTAAATGCCAAAATTATTATGTAATATTTGAGCCTTTAGTATGACACTTTGCTAGTCCATTTTTACAATTAATAGATTTTATCAGAGGCACATTCGACTGTAGTTTTCACATACACACACAATTTAAGTAAATGAATCTTTGCATAGGTGACACATTTACATGATATAAAATTCAAAAGTTCAAAAAGGTAATTTAAAAAAACATAAGGCTTTTTCCCACTCTTGTCCTCTCAACCACTAAGTTCCTCTTCAGAGACAACTAGTAGTATCAGGTTTTCGTGTAGTCTTCTAGACATATCGGTGCATAAACATGTCCTCACACATTAACTTTTGTTCCACTAATAATGTCTAATGTGGTTTCACTATATAAATTTTCTACTGGATAGTATAACAGTCCATGTCAATGACTATCAGTTCATATTTCAATCAGCAAACAGCCTATGTGAGAAAACCAATACCTGGGGCAGGACGGAGTCAAATGAATTTTCTCCGGTCTCATCTTATTACCAACAACAGAAGAAGGATCAGAGGAAGTTCACCTCTTTTTGTGAGTGAACACACACACACACACTCACACACACACAATTTGCATAGATTTAAGATCTTCCTAACATTGAAGGGCTGATTTAGGGTGGGACTCAAATAAAGCTCAGCTCCCCTCTTCTTGTACAAATATGCAGTTCATGGATATTAGCATCTATTAGCATTGCTTCCAATGAAGAATGTCTTTTAAAATTCTATTAAATATATTTTGGATATTTTGTTGCTTTACCTAAGTCTATTTGCATAGCCATTTTTCCCTTGTCCTGCTCTTATGCTACTATAAAGCGAGATTCTAGTGAATGGAGTTGTATGAATAACAAAATCTGAACTTTAGAAATTACAAACTTTCCAAAGCAGACTTTGTATTTATTTTTTGTTGGCATTTCCACCTAAAGCCAAAAGTGTCTCACATAAACCTACTAATGTAAAACATTAATAGTGCTGAAAGCAAGACATTCATTTTATAAGTTCCACTTAGGTATAATAGTGGCAAATTGCCATTATTTCATTTAGTAAATAATGTTTTATCTAAGATATTTATAGGGACACTCTCTCAATATATATTATTTTATTGATTAAGTTGCCCTGTCATTTCTAAAAATATAAGGCTTAGGTAATTCTTTTGACACCTGAGTAAATCATATACTCAATGATTTTTTTATGTGTGTGCATGTGTGCTGTTGATATTCTTCAGTACCAAAACCCATCATCTCATTTGCATAGGGAAGTTAACATCCCTCTTTTACATTAACATTCCAAAACTAAATACATCTTAACTTCAAATCATGTATCTGGTTCATATGACTCATATAGCAACACTAACAAGGTCACTTTAAATGCAACAAGAAGAGGAATAAAAGTTGGAGGAGGGTGGAAGAACCATTTGTAAATTAATGAGCATAAATTCATAATTTTTATCACAACAAACACCAATAAAGTCACTAGTTTATATCTATATTCACATATTTTGATATGAAAGGTAAAATTACATTGAAACATATCTCTTATCTATTTTGAATATTATCTCATGGAGGTACCTGTAATCAGAAACACTCATTTCCAAGTATTCACCATTCATCATATTAATCTAAGTCCTGGGTTTAAATAAACAAACAAATGAGGACAAGATCCTTAAGGAAACAATGAATACATTGAAATGCAATGTAGTCAGTACTGGCCTACAGGACCTAACTGGTTATATGCCTACACTGCTGAGGACAATCTAACTCTTACTCAAGAGTCAAGGAAGACTTCCAGGTAGAGGCAATGCATTAGCTGAGAAAGCGCTGCAAGATTAAGCAGGAAGAGTAGTGAAAAGAAAATGAAGCCCTTAATGGAAATAAGTTATCAAGTAATATTTTTGGTACCAACAGAAAACTTAAAACAGCAAGTATTGCTATGGAAAATTCAAAGCACTTTCTCTATGGAAGTTGATGTTAGATTACAAGGGGGATGGGTGGTGAGGAAACAAGTAGATGGAATATTTCACAGAAGCTGGCAGTTGTGAATTTTTCAAAAATAGAAAGAATAAGAAATCCATGCACGTGAACACATGAATACCCACTACAAATAGAACAGACACAGGGATACTGGGCAATTTCATTTCCGCTAAATGGAAAATCTGAAATAAATTGCAACTGTTGTTAGAAAACTTTTTATATATAATGTCAGTTTAATTTGTCCTAAAAACCGCAATTGGAAAGTACTCAGAGTTGGATACAAGTAAAATCTTGAGCTCAAGACCAAGTGCAAATGAAATCATTCTACCAGCTATACGCAGCAAGGAAAACTGATAGCAATAGCTTTCTAAAAACCCTGAATGCTCTGGAGGATCCAAACCTAAAGCAGAGAAGGTGTGCTGCAGTTATCATAGTTAACTTGGTTACTAAAATCTGAGAAACATAAAATCCAAGAATGATATTAAAACACAAACTTTAATCATTCACATATCTCTAACATAATTTCCAATGTAAATTAATTTCATTTACTTTTAAAAATAGGTTGTTTTTTAATAAAACAATCACAATATCCAATAAAAATTTTGCAGATAAGGCAACAACTCCTGTAGGATAAATAATATTTTTAGATGTTCACCTTGCTCTTCTTTTCGGTTATTCAGTGTTTAATAACTCAATTATCTTGATATGTTGGAGTAGTATCTAAAGAAAGGTATCTAGTTTTCAATCACATTGCTTTATATTGTGTAGTGCCCCAGACTAACTCGTGTTTACCATTCATATGGCAAAATCCAGCATGTTATCTGCAAAGAACGTTTTAGTTGCCTACATAGATTTTTGATAAGAGCAATGGGAAACTGAATATGTGCAATATGGACAGATAGTAACAAGGACTTTTACTGTTCCCTTCAGTGGAAGCTTCTTGGTCAAATGGTAGCTAATTAATATTATATTCATATATAAGACATCTTTTCTTTACCAGTATACTTTTCTAATCATAAATAACCAATAAATTCAACATAGGTCTCAAATATTTTAAAAGTATAATTTCTATAGCCATATTACTGTGATTTGTGAAAAACATAATCAGCATATTGCATATTTAAAATTTAGTCTTTTGGGACAAGATTATAACTCTCTTTTTTAAGGGGATGAGTGATTTGGGACAGGGCCATGATGTGGGTAAATGTTGTAAACCTGTGTTTTTTTTTTTAATTGGCTCCATTATTCATTATAACACTCATGTTTTTGCCAAAGTTCAGTTTTACATGTGGAAAACAGATGGTCCTGTCACACTTAGGATTTTGTTATTGTTGTTGCCTTATGCCTTGTAATATAAAAAATGGGCCCATGTGTCTTCCATCTTACTGAAAGATATAGACAGGTTTAAAACATGATTTGTAAGACAGTAGCAAACATTGTGTTCATGGGATTGTTTGAACTCTATTATTTATTTCTAGTTTAATTTTATTGTGATCTGAAAAAAACTTTGTATAATTTATATTAAAATTTTTCAGGTATGTTTTTATTGGCACAGAATGTGGTCTTTCTTGATTAATGTTCTTGAGCTTGAGAAGAATGTGTATTGTGTGATGGTTGATAAAATAATCTATACATGTCAATTTGATCAAGTCAATTGATGGTTCTATTCAGGTCACTTATATCCTTATCGACTTACTGCCTTTTTGATCTATCAAGTACTTAATGAGGAGCAGTGAGTCTCCAAATATATTGGTAATTTTTTCTGTTTTTCTTACTGTTCAATTAGCTTTTGTCTCATAGATTTTGATACATATTTTTAGATGAATAAATATTAAGGATTGTTACATCTTTTAAGAGTTGACCCATTTATCATTCTAAAATACCTGTCTTTATTCCTGATATTTTCCCTTCCCTGAAGTTTGCTTAGTCTTAAATTAATCTAGCTACTCCAGCTGGCTTTTCATTATTGTTACAATGGCATGTTTTCTCCATTTATTTTCTTTAACATACCTGTGTCTATATTTAAAGTGAGTTTCTATATAGCTGGACCTTGCATTTTGTGTTATTTTTCTTATTCATTCCGACAATCTCTGTCTTTGAATTGGTATAAAGCATTCACATTTTTAGTGATTATTGGCTTGTTTGGCTTAATAAGTGCCATGCTTGTATAAGTTTTCTCTTAGTTGCACTTGTTATTTTTTTTTCTTCTCTCATTTTCTGGCTTCTCTGGTTTTAATTAAGTACTATATATAATTTCATTTTGTCCCCTCTCACATCAATTACATTACTATACTTTAATAAAATAGAAGTTGACCTAGACTTCGCAATATGCATTCACAACAAATCTAAAATCACTATTAAATAACGCTATCATGCTTCACAGATTATACAGTTACCTTACAACACAGTAGCCCCAATTCCTCCTTCCTATCCTTTATAACATTGCTTTCATTCATTTTACTTACCCATATACTATAACTATTACCCAGTAAGTTGTTTCTATTGTTACTTTGAACAAACAGTTATCAAATAGGTCAAGTAATATACGAAAAAATAGAATATTATATTTATTATTTCTTTCCTTTTTGTTGTTGTTGTTGTTGTTGTTTTTGAGACGGAGTCTAGTTCTGTCACCCAAAGTTCAGTTTTACATGTGGCTGGAGTGCAGTGGAGTGATCTCAGCTCACTGTAACCTCTGTGTCCCGGGTTCAAGCGATTCTCCTCCCTCTGCCTCCCGAGTATCTGGGATTACAAGCGTCTGCCATGACACTGTCCTAATTTTTGTATTTTTAGTAGAGACAGGGTTTCGCCATGTTGGCCAGGCTGGTCTGGAACTCCTGACCTCAGATGATACGCACACTTCAGCCTCCCATAGTTCCAAATTGCTGACTACATCATTTTCCTTCTCCCGGAAGAACTTCTTTTAACATTTTTTGCATAGTAGAGCTACTAACAATAAATCTTCTTAGTGTTTTGTTTGCTTGAGAAATCTTCATCTTTCACTTTTGAAGTATAATTTTGAGGTATATAGAATTCTAGGTTACTGTGTTTTCTTCTTTCAATGCGATATTTTATTAAATTTAGCATTATATTCAGTCTCCAAATCATATAATTTTAAATTTAAACTATGAATACATGCTAATATACCTCATATACTTTGTTCTTTCTCAGAGTCAATCTTTTCCCAGAGTCACCAGTGAATGGATCAACCATAGAACCAAAATGAATGTGCGGGTCACTTATCTTCCAGCCAACTACTCTTTACACTCCCCACCAACTTATAAAACTGTTCTTATTCATCATTTTCCATATTACTAACTCTTATATTTTGAAATAACGCAATGCAATCATGTTTATAGGAAATGTATATTCAATTCATGTAAAAAAGTACAACATTCACTCTTTAAATTCTTTTCTTTGTTAGTTGAAAAGCATTAAACACACATAATGGTGACTAAAATTAATAGTAATGCATGTTTAAAAATTACTAAAAAAAAATCCAAATGTTTTCACTACAATGAAATCAGTATGTGAGGTGATGGTTATGTTAATTAGCTTAATTTAATCATCCCACTATGAATACATGTATCATAACATCACAGTATACCCTGTAAACATATACAATTATTA
This sequence comes from Homo sapiens, assembly GCF_000001405.40. Classification (NCBI taxonomy): domain Eukaryota; kingdom Metazoa; phylum Chordata; class Mammalia; order Primates; family Hominidae; genus Homo; species Homo sapiens. Next base: position 38,014,088 of record NC_000011.10, read on the forward strand.
TTTGTAACCTATGATAAAATAAAAATAAATTTACTTTTTGAAAAAATATACACATTTTAAAAATATAATTATTTTCTACTACATAGTAGACTTCTTTATTTCCATCAAGAATAATTGTATGTTTTCTTTCCAAAGCATATCCATATTTTTGATTAGGGGATTCTAACTTTTACAATGCACCAACTATGTTACCATTCCAATACTTGTTCTTCTCCTTTTTTGTTAGAATTCTTTCATTATCATATTATTTTAATCCCACTTCATAACCTAGTCTCAAGTATTCCAGCCTAGAATGAAAGTTTCTGAAAAAGCAATATACTATCAACTCTGCAAACATTGCTTCTGAGAAAAATACTGGCACTTTGAAACAAGGCAATGAGTTATTAAGAGAATAGATTCACTTGTCTCATAATGTATTTTCTCATCTAGAAGTAGCCAGCACTTACTGGTTGTGGAATGACCCATTAATACTATACTTCAGTTCCAACACAAACAGCTAAAGTATTCTTCTGCAGAACTCCGTGTATGAGTGGTTTTCAAAACTTGGCTACATATTGGAATTCTCTGGGGAGCTCTAAAACCACTGTTGTCTGGATCCTAGCCCATGATTCTGATTTAATTGGGCTGAGGTGGGCCTAGGCATTGCAAGTATTAAAAGCTCTCAAGGTAATTTTAATGTTCAGTCAAATCTGAGAACAGCTACTTTGATATTCTTAACCAGTAGTTGTAGAATATGCAGTTTTTTCTTATAGACAATGTTTTTTCCTAAAAACAGTGTTCCTACAGACATATTTCTATGGTTGCTCTAACAAGTTACCACAAAATTAGTGAATTTAAAAAGAGTATTTATTATCTTACAGCACGGTTGATCAGAAATCCTATGAGAATCTCACTGGCCTAAAATCAAGGTGCTAGTAGGCCTGCATTTCTTTCTGGAGGCTCAGTGGGAGAATTCGTTTTCTTGTTTACAACTTCTAAAGATGACCCACATTCCCTAGCTTAAGTCCTTCTTTTTCCATCTTCAAAGCCAATGATAGACAGGAGAGGAAAGATGAGTCCTTCTCAGGCTGCCATCTCTCTTGTTTCTGTGGCCTACAAAGATTTTTTCATGCTTAGAAATTTATGTGATCATATTGGACACACATGGATAATACAGCATATTTTTACCTTCTCAACATGCCTAATCTTAGTCGCACCTATAAAGTCCTGTTTGCCATTGAAAAAACATATTCAGGCCGGGCTCAGTGGTACACACCTGTAATCCCAGCACTTTGGGAGATCGAGGTGGGTGAATCATTTGAGGTCAGGAGTTTGAGACCAGCTTGGCCAACATGATGAAACCGTCTCTCCACTAAAAATGCAAAAATTAACCAGGCCTGGTGCCATGTGCCTATAATCCCAGCTACTTGGGAGGCTGAGGCAAGAGAATTGCCAGAGTCTGGGAGGCAGAGGTTGCAGTGAGCCCCGAGATTGTGCCACTGCACTCCAGCCGGGGCAACAGAACGAGACTCCACCTCAAAAAAAAAAAAAAAAGAAAAAGAAAAAAAAAAGAACATATTCAAATTCCTAGATTTGGAATGTGGAAATTGTTTGTGGGGGTGTAGTAATTCTGCCTGCTATATTTCTAATGTGTGATTATGAAAATAAATTGGAGAAAGTTAGGTGGTATCTTTGATATTACTTCTATTGCTCTGCTTGAAATATGTTTATGTGTCTGTAACTCAGTTTCATGCTTAAATGGCTTAGAGAAATATATCCAAAAGGGATGACAATCAATCCATGTTAAATTGATAGCTTAACTTGCTAACAATCTTTCCCGTTTTCCCTTTCCACTGAAGAGGCCTAAAGTCTGATTATAATGTTATAATTATAATCAATGTCATGTTCAATATAATGTTATATAATAATCAAGCCCATTCAAAAACCTGGACTTGATTATTTGACTTTAAGAATTTTAAAAATATTAGATTGTTTTCCTTAGGGAATGATTTGAATTGATTTTGTTGTTATACAAAAATATTCAAATCATCTTGATAACTAAAGGGAAACTAGAGGATAACTAAAGATTTTTACTATAAGAATGGAGAAATATGGAAAGAAACAAAAACCATCTGAGGAAGAAGCTCATGAAAAATACCCAGTGGCCAGGTGTGGTGGCTCACACCTGTAATCCCAGCACTTTGGGAGGCCGAGGCGAGCGGATCACGAGGTCAGGAGATCGAGGCCATCCTGGCTAACATGGTGAAACCCCATCTCCAATAAAAATACAAAAAATTAGCCGGGTGTAGTGGCAGGCGCCTGTAGTCCCAGCTACTCTACTGGGGAGGCTGAGGCAGGAGAATGGCATGAACCCAGGAGGCGGAGCTTGCAGTGAGCCGAGATCGCGCCACTGCATTCCAGCCTGGGCGACAGAGCAAGACTCCGTCTCAAAAAAAAAAAAAAAAAAAAAAAAAGAAAAAAGAAAAGAAAAATACTCACCCACCCCAGGAGAATCACCAAGAGCTCATTTCCTCAGTAATTACAATTGAGGCATTCATCCAATAAAGCTCGTGAAAATCTATGTAACTGATTGAGTGCATAATAGAGAAGGAAAATCCTAAGTAACAAATATTACTAAAGGCCCATGACCATTTGCAGAAAGGAAAACTACACCATTCACCTGTTTTTCTTTTTATCAAATCTCATAACTGTGTGTGCATATACACATGCATAGTTTAACTTTTCTTTTAATTATTTCCCCCATATTCACATATTTGTGTGCGTGTATTTAACTGTGATTAAATTAAACTTATAATTTATAGTATATATTAAACAATATTGAGGGAGAATAACAGAAATAAAGTATGGCTGTCATTCAGAAACCTGTGTTTGATTTTTTAGATTTATTGATTTTTGAGCATTAGATTGTTTTCCACAGGGAAAACTGAATGGGTTTTGTTGTTATTAAAAAAATCATCAAATTACATTGAGAGGACATTCTTAAGTAAATATGACAAGATGGACATGTATGTTGAGAAAGTCATTGTGTGGGCTGTAATGTAAATCTTTCATGCCATCAGTTATGTCTTCTAACAATGGAAAGCAGAGGCACCCCATACCTGTGCAATTAAAGTGATGGCACATGATTCAAGCATATAAATAATACTTTACTCTCCAAATTTAAATCATATTGGAATAAAGTAAAAGTCAATGGTTGGTTAGAGATTATGTACAGCATGTAGCTGAGAGAAGAGAGGCACGGCTGAGGGTGTGTTGGGGATAAAGTGCAGCGATGTAGTAGCAAACACGTGGAGAGTACCCATGACATTTTCCTAATTGTCCAATACCCATGACCATTGTTCCCACCTACTCCTGAGTCTACAGTGTTCTTTTCAGCCATTAAATAATATACTTAACATCATTCTAATACATTCTTCATATACTAGATTATTTAAAATTAGTTTGAGTAGTTAGCAACTATAAAATCTAACTTGTACAGATAACATCTTGCACTAAGATAGTAAATCCATGCAAGAATCCCAGTCTTATATTTTTGCACATTGTAAATACAAAGAAATGAAGTCAAAATTCAACTGAACCTGACAGAAAGGTGAGAAAATAGTTAAAAAGGGGGAAACATACTAAAAGCTGAGATTATAGGTGCAAATTCCCCAGATGTCAGTAAAAGAGCCATGCTGCAGTTTAAATAAAAATGGAATAAAGGAGGTTGCACCAAGTTAGCATTACCTACCACATGCTGAAAACGTTTAGAATGTCTTCGTACAAAAGTGAGTGGTAACTTGATGAATTATAATACAACTTGTATTACCACAGTGATGTCAGTTTATAGGGCTTGATCTAATAAGGGTTACCACAAGAATGTTCATAAAACTACTTATCCAAATGAAGCATTGTTGAGCATGTAAGGTGGCTCTATTAATAATCACACTGTTGGAATTAAGCATAAACTAGAACTCTCTAAGGCAAACCAGAATGGAAGTCACCCTAGCTTTTCAATTCAGTAATTCATCAGAAGTATTTGGTGAATGCGTACTCTGTCTAAATTGCCATGGGATTTGCAAGGAAAAGTAACAGGCACCCACTATACTGAAGAAAAAAAAAAACACAGAAAAAACATAATTTCTAACAGAAAGACCAAGGAAATGAACATCATACTAATTGAAATGGCAGAAAGTGATTAAAATTATTAAGAAAATTGAAATTAAAAAATGATTGAGGAATAAAAAAGGGGGATAGCACATTCGAATGGCAAGAAATGAAATGCAGGAGGGGCTAGCTGACAAGATGAATAGATGAAATCATCTTTTAGGCCAGATTTTTAAAGAAGTTATTGTGCATTTTGGTCACTTTCTAGCTCTGCCTTCTACCAATTTTTGTATGTTGCCTTTAAAAATATAATTACATGAACATCAATGTGGAAAATTCACACAAGATATGCTTTCATATAATTTTTCACTTTTTAAACTTCACAGCATGCTGATCTCTCTGTATAGATTGCCTATATAATTCCTGAACAACTATCAATTTTCTTACCAAGCATCATCAACTTGTAAAATTATTTTTAATATCTCCTTATACAAGATCCAAAAACTGCAAACAATCCAAATATCCATCAGTGAATGAATAATAAAGAATATGTGGTTCTAGAGGACAAGATAGCCAACTAGACAGTCAGATGAAACAGCTCCCACCAAGGGACCAGATGACTGTTGTGCTCCTAACAGATATTCAGAGGTAACCTACCCAGAGTGGATGGAGAGAAGACAGAGAAGCTGAGCTGAAGGGGGAGGAAGCAGGGAATGCTGCATAGAGCTGATATGCACTAGGACTCATTTCTAGCCCCCAGTGGGTTTAGGGGAACAGGTGAGTTGAACTGGCAAGGAACAATCTGTTCTCACCACAGGCCTCAGGAACCCCAGTAGGAGAAGTCCTCTCAACCACCAGGGACACTCACATTGGCAGGGAGAACTGCTTAGAGAAGTGGTAGCAGCACCAAGCCAGCTGATGTGGAGCCAAAAGAGTTTGGTGTGGGGGCATCCGTAGCAGAGCATGGCCAGGGATGGCTATTCCTCTAGGCTTTACTTTCTCCCATAGGAGACTTTAGCCCTAAGGGAACTGTCAAACCTGAAGTCTGCAAGGCAGTCTTGCCCACCAGAGGGGGCCAATCCAACCTGAGCACTCCTTGGTCTCCTTGCCTCTCCTGGTGCCCCAGTTTGGCCACGCTTGCTTACAGGGCAATCTTGAGTGCCCTTGGAGCCTACACCATAGCTTCTGTGTTGGTGGACCATGCCTGACCAGTGGAGAGCTCCATGGGGGCAGTCCCAAAGGTCATGAATCAGCCTTCCCACTCCTTCCCCATACTGTACCTTCCCCCAGGCCCATGGCAACTCCTCACATTGTTTTGCTGACTCATTTCTGCACAGGCAGGTTTTGCTTTCCTTGCCCAGCCAGCTCAAAGGAATGCAGTCCATGCCCCCTACTCCACCAACCACCATTGCAGAGTCTTGGTAGGCACAGAGCCAGCCAGCCTTGCGCTAACACTATGCAGAGAGCAGGGGATCCTCCCACACCCTGAGCAATCACTTCTTCTATCAGGGCATTTTGAAGGCACCCAGACCGGCAACCACCAGTGTGCCAACCCTGAGGCAACACCACCTCCAGCATGACCACGCACAAAGTTGCCAGCAAGGGTTCTCCTGCACACTCCCAGCTGCATTGCCTCTGCCACTGTGGTGAACACCCAGAGGCAGACACCCCAGTACCCACTAGCACTCTGCCAAGCTGCTGCTACAAAGACAAATCCTGCTGTCAGTGCCAATAAAATGCTTTTGCTGATACCACCTATGAGAGTACAGTGACCAGCAGTTTGTGAGCACCTTGCCCCCTCTTCAAGAACAGTGGATTCCTAATCTCCAGGAGCCAGAGAACAAAGTTGAGGCCCAATACAAGTCCCCAGAGTTAGAGGCTGCAGTCCAGAAGTTGGGTGCTGAATGATGGCCCCCTAAAATCTTCCAGAAATGAAGTAAGTTGACTGAATCCACCTTGCACCACAATCAGACCCTCCAGTTCATCAAATAGGGTAAAAGTTAAATAATCCAAACATCAGCAACCTGAAAATTGACAGCAGATAAACCCACAAAGACAAGAAAGAATTAGCACAAGAACCCTGAGAGTTCAAAAAGCTGTATTGCCTGCTTTCCTAAATGACTACAGCACCTCTCCAGCAAGTGTTCTGAACTAGGCCAAGATGGCTAAAATGACAGAAAAAAATTCAGAATATGGATAGGAATGAAGATCATTGGGCTACAGGAATAAATTAAAACCCAATCAAATGGCATTAAAAATCATGATAACACAATGAAGGAGTTGACAGACAAAACAGCCAGTGTGAAAAAAAACGTAACGTATGTGATAGAACTGAAGAACACACTACAATAATTTCACAATGCAATCACAAGTATTAATAACAGAATTGATCAAGTGGAGGAAAGAATCTCAGGTTATGAAGACTGGCTTAATGAATAAGACAGTCAGACAAGAATATTAAATAAAAGAATGAAAAGAAATGAACAAAATCTCCAATAAATATGGGATTATGTAAAGAGATCACATCTACAACTCATTGGTGTTCCTGAAAGAGATGGGGATAATGGACCCAATTTAGAAAACATATGATCTATTTGACGTCCCCAACCTAGTTGGAGAGGCCAACATTCAAATTCAGGAAATACAGAGAAACTCAGTGAGATATTTCACAGGAAGATCATCTCCAAGATATGATCACCAGATTCTCCCAGATCAAAAGGAAAGAAAAATTGTAAAAGGAAGCTAGAGAGAAAAGTCAGGTCACCTACAAAAGGAAGCCCATTAGACTAACAGTGGACCTCTCAGCAGAAACCCTACAAGCCATAAGAGATTGGAGGTCAATATTTAATATTCTTAAAAAACATTTCAACTCAGAATTTCATATCTTGCCAAGCTAAGTTTCATAAGGAAGGAGAATCAAGATCCATTTCACATAAGCAAATGCTGAGGGAATTCTTTACTAGCAAACCTGCCTTACAAGAGCTGAAGGAAGCACTAAGTATGGAAAGGAAAGACAATTCCCAGCCACTACAAAAGTATGCTGAAGTACAGACCAGTGGCACTATAAAGCAACAACATAAACAAGCCTGTAAAATAACCAGCTAACACCATAATGACAGGATCAAATCCACACATAACAATACTAGTATTGAATGTAAATGCCCCAATTAAAAGACATAGAGTGACAAGTTGGATAAAGAACCAAGACCCACTTGTATGCTGTCTTAAAGAGACCCATCTCACATGCAATGACACACATAGGGTCAAAACAAAGGGATGGAGAAAAATCTACCAAGCAAATTGAAAAAAAAAAAGCAAGGATTGCAATTCTAATTTCAGACAAAACAGATTTTAAACGAATAAAGATCAGAAAAGACCAAGAAGGGCACCACGTAATGATAAAGGGTTCGATTCAGCAAGAAGACTTAACTATCCTAAATATATATGCACCCAATACAAGAGCACCCAGATTCCTAAAGCAAGTTCTTAGAAACCTTCAAAGAGACTTAGGCTCTGAAACAATAGTAGTGGGAGACTTTAAAAATCCATTGACAATATTAGAAAGATCATCGAGACAGAAAATTAACAAAGATATTCAGGACTGGAACTCAGCACTGGATCTAATGGACCTAATAGATATCTACAGAACTATCCAGCCCAAAACAACAGAATATATATTGTTCTCATGGCCACATGGCACATACTTTCAAATCAATCACATATTTGAAGGCAAAATACTCTCCAACAAATGCTAAAGAACTGAAATCCTAGTGAATAATCTCTTGGACCACAGTACAATCAAATTAGAAATCAAGACTAAGAAATGCATTCAAAATAATACAATTACATTAAAATTGAAAAATCTGCTTCTGAATGACTTTTGCATAGATAATTATATTAAGGCAGAAATCAAGAAGTTATTTGAAACTAATGAGAACAAAGATACAACATAGCAGAATCTCTGGGACACAGCTAAGACATGGTTAAGAGGGAAATTAGTAGCACTAAATTCCCAAATCAGAAAGTTAGAAAGATATCAAATTAACAGCCTAATATCACAACTAAAAAAAAAAAAAACAAAAAAACTAGAAAAACAAGAGCAAACCAACCCCAAAGCTATCAGAAGACAATAACTAAAATCCGAGCTGAACTGAAGGAAATAGAGACAAAAAAAAACATTCGAAAGATCAACAAATCCAATAGCTGTTTTTATGAAAAAAAGAAAATAGACCACTAGCTAGATGAACAAAGCAAAAAAGTGAGACAGAACAAAAAGGATATTACTACTGACCCCACAGAAATAAAAACAACCATCTGAAAATATTATGAACACCTCTATGCACATAAACTAGAAAATCTAGAAGAAATGGAGAAATTCCTGAAAACATACACCCTTTCAAGACTAACCAGAAAAAATTTAATTCCTGAGCAAACTAATAATGAGTTCTAAAATTGAGTCAGTAATAAATAGGGTACCAACCAAAAAATAAAAGCCCAAGACCAGATGGATTCACAATCGAATTCTACCAGATGTACAAAGAAGAGCTGGTACCTTTCCTGCTGAAACTATTTCAAAAAAATTGAGAAGGAGGGACGCCTCCTTAACTCATTACATAAGGCCAGCATCATCCTGATATGAAAACCTGGCAGAGACACATAGAAAAAAGAAAACTTAAGACCAATATCCTTGATGAATATCAATGCAAAAACCCTCCACAAAATACTGGCAAACTGAATCCAGCTGCACATCAAAAAGCTTATCTACCACAATTAGGTAGGTTTTATTCCTGGGATGCAAAGTTGATTCAATGTACCCAAATCAATAAATGTGATTTATCACGTAAACAGAACTAAAGACAAAAACCACATGATTACCTTAATAGATGCATAAAAGTCTTTCAATAAAATTCAACACCTCTTCATGTTAAAAAGTATCAATAATCTAAGTATTAAATGAATTTACCTCAAATAATAAGAGCCATCTGTAACAAACCCACAGCCAACATCATATTGAATGGGCAAAAGTTGGAAACATTCCCCTTGAGAACGGCACAAGACAAGGATGCCCTCTCTCTCCACTTCAATTCAATATAGTATTAGAAGTCCTAGCCAGGTCAATCAGGCAAGATAAATAAATAACGGGCATCCAAATAGGAAGAGAAAAAGGCAAACTATCCCTGTTAGCAGATGACATAATCCTGTATGTAGAGAAACCCATATTCTCAGCCCAAAAGCTCCTTTAAATGATAAACAACTTAAAAAAATTCTGAGGATACAATATTGGTGTGCAAAAATTACATACATTCCTATACACCAAAAACAGCCAGGCCAAGTGCCATATCAGTTAATGGATTCCCATTCACAATTGCCACAAAAAGAATACAATACCTAGGAATACAGCTAACTAGGAAAGCAAAAGATCTCTAAAAGGAGAACAACAAAACAGTGCACAAAGAAATCAGAGATGACACAGCAAATGAAAAAACACTCCATCCTCATGGATAGGAAGAATCAGTATCACTAAAATGGCCATACTGCCCCAAACAATTTACAGATTCAATGCTATTCCTATTAAACTATCATTGACGTTCTTCATGGAACTAGAAAAAAACTTTTAAAATCTACATGGAACCCAAAAGAAAGGAAAGGCAATTCTAACCACAAAGAACAAAGCTGGATGCATTATGCTACCTCACTTCAAATTATACTAAAGGGCTACAGTAACCCAAACAGCATGGTACTAGTACAAAAACAGACACACAGACCAATGGAAAAGAATAGAGAATCCAGAAATAAGGCCACACACTTACAGCTATCTGATCTTCAATGAACTTGACAAAAACAAGCAATGGAGGAAGGATTCCTATTCAATGAATAATGCTGCGATAACTGGCTAACCATATGCAGAAGATTGAAACTGGACCCCTTCCTTATATGACATACAAAAATTAACTCAAAAAGGATTAAAGACTTAAATCTAAAACCCAAAACTTTAAAAACCATGGTACACAACCTAGGCAATACCGTTCTCAATATAGGAACAGGCAAAGATTTCATGACAAAGACACAAAAAGCAATTGCGACAAAATCAAAAATTGACAAATAGGATCTAATTAAACTAAAGAACTTCTTCACAATAAAGGAAACTATCAACAGAGTGAAGAGACAGCCTATAGAATGGGAGAACATTTTTGCACACTAAGCACCTGACAAAAATCTAATATCTAGCATCTATAAGAAACTTAAACAAATTTACAAAACAAAAAGGAAAATAAACTCCATTAAAATGTAGGCAGGCCGGGCGCGGTGGCTCACGCCTGTAATCCCAGCACTTTGGGAGGCCGAGGCGGGCGGATCACGAGGTCAGGAGATCGAGACCATCCCAGCTGAAACGGTGAAACCCCGTCTCTACTAAAAATACAAAAAATTAGCCGGGCGTAGTGGCGGGCGCCTGTAGTCCCAGCTACTTGGGAGGCTGAGGCAGGAGAATGGCGTGAACCCGGGAGGCGGAGCTTGCAGTGAGCCGAGATCCCGCCACTGCACTCCAGCCTGGGCGACAGAGCGAGACTCCGTCTCAAAAAAAAAAAAAAAAAAAAAAAAAAAATGTAGGCAAAGGATGCGAACAGAAACTTTTCAAAAGAAGACATATATGCACCTAACCATTATGAAAAAAAGCTCAACATCATTGATCATTAGAGAAATGCAAATCAAAATCACAATGGGATACTATCTCACATCAGGCAGAATGATTATTATTAAAAAGTCAAATAATAACAGATGCTGGTGAGGTTATGGGAAAAAAAAAGGAGTGCTTATACACTGTTAGTGCAATGTAAATTAGTTCAACAATTGTGGAAAACACTGTGGCAATTCCACAAAGACCTAAAAACAGAAATACCATTTGACCCAGCACTCCCAATACTGGCTATCTACCCAAAGGAATATGAATTGTTCTATTATAAAGACACATGCATGTGTGTGTTCATTGCAAAACTATTCACAGTAGCAAAGCCATGCAATCAACCTAATGTCCATCAATGCTATACTGAATAAAGAAAATGTGGTTCATATACACCATGGAATACTGTGCAGTCACAAAAGATGAACAAGATCATGCCCTTTGCAGAAACATGGGTGGAGCTGGAGGCCATTATCCTTAATAAACTAATGCAGGAACAGAAAACCAAATACAACATGTTCTCATTTATTAGTGGGAGCTAAATGATGAGAATACATGAACACATAGAGGGCAACAAAAGACATTGGGGCCTATCAGAGGTTGGAAGGCTAGGAAGAGGGAGAAAATTGGAAAAAATAACTAATGGGTACTAGGCTTAGTAAATGCATGATGAAATACTCTGTACAACAAACCCCCAAGACACACATTTACCTATATATCAAACCTGCACATGTATCTCTTAACTTAAAATGAAAGCTAAATTTAAAAAAAAATGTGGTATATACAGGCAATGGGTTATTATTCAGTCTTAAAAAGGCAGGAAAATCTGACAAAGCTACATCATGAATGAACCTTAAAGACATTATGCTAAATGAAATAAGCCAAGCACAAAAGAACAAATATTGTTGATTACACTAGCACTTATGTGTTTTATTCCAGCTTATTTTGCACTTACCTAGCACCTTCTACAAACCTGTTTCCTCATATATGTAACGATCAGGGTAAAGATGGAAGGTACATACACACACAAACTTCTGGTGGCTTCCAAACAGATTGTAAAAGAAAGTACTCATTATGAACACTGGTTATCATTATGAATGAGAATATGCTACAAAGTATCAGTATTTATCAGAATGCATTGATAATGTATTTGTGGCAATCCTGTCAACATTTGCAAATCTATCTATATAGAAAAAATATGTTAAAGTTAAACATTTAAGAATAAGTGTTGCTCTCATATAGATCCCCAAAGAAAACTAGCTATAGAACAAATTGCATTTATTTATTGAAGTATATATCCTCATACTCATGCCCAGCAGGCTCAGTCAGCAGAACATGAGACTGTTAAAATATATATACTTAAATCAATTACTATGAGCCATCCACTATTCTCTGCATTAAGGGTAAACTGGTAATGAAAAGAGAAGAAAGAAACACTTTTTTCAAAGAGCTTATATATTATTGTAGTAGATAGATACTAAACAATACATGTGATAAATAAAAAAAGTCCATTGAAGTGACAAGAGCTCCAGATAAGTAAACACAATAGAGCAAAGTAAGGCAGATTGGAAGTCTTTTTCTTTCTTGAAAATGGGCAAAGAAAATTTTTTTTTTTAAATACTAGTACATCTTTAAATAGCCATCACGCTTGGCTATTTAACCATTGCCTGACATAGCTAAGATGCATGCTGAAAACAAGGAAATGGCCTTGGCCTTGTGTTTTGGGACCTGATGCTCACAAGTTCTATACCAAGTCCCTGTGCTGAAAACAAAGTGGGGTCGGGTTTGTGTTTTGGGACCTGATGCTCACAAGTTCTAATACCAAGTCCCTGTATACTCCCTAATAATTGCAGTTATAAAACAATGGTGGTCAGATTTTTGAAGGAGATGACAGTTCATTGTATATTTGTCTGTTTTAAATTTGTGCCTATTCCATTTTAAGTTCTGGGTTTATAGAATGTAAATTTAATGTATGAGATGTCACAGTCCTTTGAGCTGCTTGTCCACCTGCCTCAGTACCCAGATGAGACTACTGAGGCCTCAAGAGCCACTCAACACATTTAGGTGCATGGCATCCTCTATCAAATTGAAAAACAAGGCTATGCACGCACCCATCCCTCTCAGTGTAACTCCCCAACTCACTGATAGATGAGTCAATTTGACAAAAGCCTCTCACTTACTGCATTAGTTGGACTCTCGGACCTTTAAAATCACCTATTTTCATATCCTCTGTACAAAAACAGCAAGATATATTAAGGGCATATTTGAAAAAGATTTTTAACTCCAAATTTCTAAAATTACATAAATTCAATATATGTGAAATAAACACGTGAAAATAACATCTAGTACCTGTCATACAGTGAATATAACATTCATTTTGTTGTTATTATGATAATGAAGCATCAGCTACTTGGATGTAATATTTATGCAGACAGTTTTGGAAAAGAGAAGGTTTCTTTTTTTGTTTTTATTTCAAAGTTTCTTTCCTAATTATATGCAACTTAGCGTACTATCAATCCTTAATATATTCATCTTGGCTTGCAGGTTTATTGCCTGAAAATACAGTAATCATGTATTTGGAAAAACCATCTTAGGTCTAAAACATTTAGTATCTTGAAAAATGAAGGTCTTTTGTTTGTTTGTTTAGGTTTTGAAGCTTTTTAGGCTTTATGCCTTTAAAAAAAAAAAAAAGCTCACACATTTTATTTTATAGTGTCAGAGCTAAAAGTCCTATTAGTGACACTTGAAATTTTATAGTAGCTGCCACTTGCCAGTGATCATTAAGTGAATAAAGCATCCATCAGTGATATGGAAATCAGCCCCATTTATAAATCATTCTGTACAATCTGTTACCAGAGGTGAGCTAAATGAGCATTTTAGGAACATCTATAAAAATTTAAGACCATGAGTAGGAATAATTTCTCAATCTATTTAGTAGTTGGTGGTGATAGTAGTCTTACAAGAAAAATATTGTCGATTTCTTATTTCATTTTGCACAGCATACTCTCTAAACAAGTATATTTCTGTTTGCATATGCTATGCCATTTACACAGAGTAAATTTTTACTCCTTAAACAGGCTACTTTTATGAGTGATAAAAGTGTTCACTTGGGGCTTAAAAATGCTGTGGTGCGTCTCTTCTATTTCTTTTGTTTCTCTATTTATGACTTCTTCTGCCCCATCCCTCATCACCAGTACCTCAGTTTCCTCATGTACTCTTAGTTTGCTTAGAATGTCCTTCCCTAGGCCTCAGAAATTGCTGTTTACTTCTATTCCTAGATTATATTTTACAGAATTTTGAAATTAATCTCCTCATGCTTCTCTAGTCTGGATGATATCTAAATTTGCTGGATGAGAAAGACAGTTCCCTAACAGGAAGCCATTTGAAAGACATGACTCTAGGAAATAAAGCAATCCTGTTTAGCGAGTTTTCTGTTCTATCTCTTTGAAAACACTCTTTGCCTTCATTTATAGGATGAAATATAAAATGGATGCACTTCAAAAGCTGCAACTGAGAAGTGAGAATGTGGTTACCTTAATTGAAAAAATACCTTTCAGCACTTCAAATAACTTCACATTTTCCACTAGATAAGTGGTGATTTTTGCAGCTACATCAACTACTAATTAAAGATAATTTTATAAACTGAAAACATCCAATATTTTATGACAATGATAAGGTAGGTATGTCGATCTACCTAGGAGAATCATTCACCGGAGGTAGAATTGAGTCCAATTTTAAATGCTACAGGGCCACTGATTTCAGTTCAATTTAATACAAAATTTGAACTGAAATTTTGCTCTGAAAGGTAGGTAATCTCTGTCACAGAAGATGATCCAGCTAAGCTAGGTAATCACGTGGCAGGAATTTTTGTCCTGAGAATTCAAACATGAAATACATAGACCCCAGAAGTTTACAATTGTATTAACAAGTTGATTAACCGTCCAACTTGGTGGTTTGTGAAGAGGCTTATTATAGATGGTAAGGTTCGCTACCACTGAGGCATCAATGTCAATTTCAGTGTACCATCTCTTACTCATTCAATATCTATGCCCTCCACTATGTCTAACGTTATCAAGAGCTTAGCCAGTATTCAAATAGATGACATTTTTAAATGACTCAATTCCAATTCCATGTCAGTTTTGCTAAACTAATAGGTCATTTATTTTTTTTCATAAAGAGCCTTTCTGTCCTTCTTTTAGAAAATTGAGACGTAGTAGTGATTCTTCACAGTAATTAATCACAGGAAGCCCCTCAAGCCAAGGTGTCTGTAATAAATTACTGCCTCTTCATGAAGCCAGCTTCACCTGCTAGCTGTGCTACCATAGGATATTACATTTACTTGCCCTATATGTATTTTTTTTTCCTTTTCTTGGAAAACACCGGTGATAATAGTAACCTGTCCCATAAAGTTTTGAGGCGGTTACATTGTTAAGCACTTGCAAAGTGCTTAGAACAGTGACTGACATTTTGCATTTATTTAAGTTGTGTTAGCTATTATTTTCAGAATGCAGAGCAGTGTTTTGCAAAGAGAATTTAACCGCTTCTTTTATTCTCATAGACTTACTGTTGAGAAGCTAAAAGTCCCTTTCTTTTTGTTTTGCTTGACTCTTCTGTCATAAAACTTCTGAGGTTTCCTTCTTGACTTTATCTTTAAAAAATCATGACTAGAAGCTGACTAGCCATAATCACTCTAGTTCATTTGCTTAAACTTTCATTTCAGAAGTGATACAATTTGTTTTCATTTATTTTCACCAAGCAATCATTTTTTTGGTTTGGTTACATTTCTCTTCTCTCTGCCACATTCTCTATGGCTTTCCTCTTCAGACAAATTCCCTACAATCCTCATCTTTTCTGCCTACTAGACTTCGAAAGGAAAGATGGGACATATTGTCACCAATTCTTAGAGAGCAGAAATCACAGGGGCAGCTAAGTTCTTTCCAATTAACACTCCAAATTACATTGGTGAGGTGTGAGCTACAGTACTGTGTTCTCTGCTGTCAGACCTACTGAAAAAATTTCCATCAAATATGGCCCGCAGAGATAGACATGACTTTCCATAGCATTGAAGATGCAAATGCTTTTTAAGGTGTTTAGAATTTTAAAAAATGACAAAAATGCTTTTCTGAATACAGCTGGAACCAGTAAATCATGATTTAATTTGATTCCCCTATTTTGATTTTTTTTTTTTGAACTTGGGATAGGGGTAGGGAATCACCTACTCCCAGGACACAGTAAGAAATAACAACTGTGACTATGATTAATAATTAACTAAATATATAAATAAAATTCAAGCATGAAGCATCTCCATTTTATGACAGCTGTTTGGAATCTCAATTTAGAAGGGAAATGTCTTCCTCACAAATAGACAAACTATTTCATGGAGTAATGATGAGGAGTAGAGCGTCCTGTGCCTTTTAGGTTGGATTATATTGCTCTGTTGCTTTGGTGCTTAAGAAAGTAGCCAGGTTTCATCGTGTGCCCCTGAAAAATAAGTGCTTTTTTCTTTTTACAATCAGGAAAAAAATAGAGAAGAGTATGTATCTAAATATGTGAATAATGGAAAGCAATACGCATGCATATATTTAAATCTCGGATATCTGTGCATATCTGTAAATAAGCAGTCATACTGATCTGCATGTGATTTTTCCAAGTGTCCCTCACTCTTGAATTCCTTCATGCCTTTGCATGCGCTGTTTTCTAATTTAACATTACTTTTTTTTGTATGCCCTATACAACTATGTTCTTTCTCTTTCTTAGAGAGTACATTCATGTGCCTTCTTTGCTACAAAGGCAGTAAAAACCCTTCAGTAAATATCATCCAACACTCATTTCCCTGGACTTTGCAGATTGTTATGTAAATATCTAACAAAGATCATTTACTGCATGCACTAATACTTTTTTGTTTTGTTTTGTTTTGTTTTGTTTTGTTTGAGACGAAGTCTCACTCTGTAGCCCAGGCTGGAGGGCAGTGGTGTGATCTCGGCTCACCGCAACCTCCATCTCCTGGGTTCAAGCAATTCTCCTGCCTCAGCCTCCAGAGTAGCTGGGATTACAGACGCATGCCGCTGCACTAGGCTAATTTTTTGTATTTTTAGTAGAGAAGGGGTTTTACCATGTTGGCCAGGCTGGTCTTGAACTCCCGACCTCAGGTATTCCACCCCCTCGGCCTCCCAAATTGTTAGGATTACAGGTGTGAGCCCCCATGCCTGGCCTCTAGTACTTTTTAACATATTCTTCTCCTGACACTGACGCCAAGTACCTATGGGGCCAAACTGTCTTATTTCCCTTCATGTTTTCATATCACATTTAGCATATATTACCCATCTAGTAAATAATTTGGTGAATCCATACAAATAGATATACATTTAAATATATAATGTGACCTGTTTTATGTGTATGTATGTATGTATGTGTGTGTGTGCATCCACACATATAAAAGGAAGATACTCAGAAATATAAATAGACCAAAAACCCTGCAAATAATTTTAGGTACATATCATCTTCTTAACTGTACCTTGTAACATGTTATTACAATTCGGAACAGAATGACATCAT
Organism: Homo sapiens; assembly: GCF_000001405.40. Lineage (NCBI taxonomy): Eukaryota > Metazoa > Chordata > Mammalia > Primates > Hominidae > Homo > Homo sapiens. The sequence continues at coordinate 38,031,408 of NC_000011.10, forward strand.
TTACAAACCTTGTAACACTAAGTTTGCATCCTAGTTCTTAGAAAATTAAATATTTTTACATCAAATCAAGGAATTATATATTTGGTGTCCTACTTCCAACATATACTTCTTTAAATGCTGGTATTAAGCTTGCTATCACCATCTTTTAGAAATTTCTCTGACATAAAAACCCATGTGTCTAACAATCTCCTTGGTAATCAAATCAGTAGATATTATCGCAAAGAAAGAGCCATTAATTCCTACTGATTTGTAATTTCTTTTCAAATGCCACCTTTCTATAGTCCACTGATTATTTTACATCTGATTGTACACTCTGCTCCTGTGTGATGCCTTTATCCTCTTTCCTCTGATTTTAATAGTTATCAGGTCTCTTTATCTGTTTCATAGAATGTATAACTTACATGGAAAATATGCTGCAAAGTTAATCTGTAATATGTCATATTTCACTTTAAGTTAGGGAAATACCTTCAACCTTGCTTCATAGTAGTACATAGCCCATTTAAATTAATTTTTAAAATTGGTACTTTTTCTAACTTTGGTGAAATTATTGTGAGGCAGAATATTTTATTGTGGCTACATATTTATTAATTCTAATGGTTATTCTCTTCTTGTCTGGATTTTAAGGCTGATATTTTGGGCAAATTATTTTCAGCTATTTCTTTATATGACCTTGTATTCTGTTCATTCAGAGAATATAAACTGAGCACCTTGTCTAATGTAGACAGTATGCTAGAAACTAGGGAAATAGATGTAAAAGCCTAGTTGCTTCTTGCACTCCAAAGAACTCACTCTTCTGACAGTCACAGGCCCACAGGCAGACAATTGTATGTGAAAAGTATTATGGGACTTCAGAGAGAATGCCAGTCAAGGCTTTCTAGAGGAATTGATATATCAGACAATAAAATATTCCCTAAAATAAAAAATCCATGGGTTGGGTGTGGTGGCTCATGCCTGTAATCCCAGCAATGTAGGAGGGCAATGTGGGCAGATCACTTGAGCCCAGGAGTGTGAGACTAGTCTGGGAAACATGGCGAAATCCCATATCTACTAAAAATATAAAAAACTACTTAGGCATGGTGGTGCATGCCTGTAGTTCCACCTACCCAGGACATTGAAGTGGGAGGATCACCTGAGCCTGGGAAGTTGGGGGAGCAGTGAGCCTTATTGTGCCACTGTACTCCAGCCTGGGCAATGGAAGTAAGACCCTGTCCCACCCCCCCACAAAAAAAATACATACATATATACATATATATATATATAGAGAGAGAGAGAGAGAGACATATAAACATTAAGATATATTATGAAATATTTGCATTCCTTCACCCTTTAAAAACATGATTAACTACTATGTGCCAGGATATTTAAAATTTTATGCTCTCATGGAGCTTGTGTTCTAATGGTGGGAGACAGACAATAAAAACATGAATACACAGCACATATCTATGGCTTAATAGTTTCAATGGGGAAAGGTAATGAATATTGGGAGGAAAAGGGGACAATAGCGACTGTTCTCAAAGAAAAAGTATGAAAGATTTTGAGGCCAGGCATGGTGGCTCACGCCTGTAATCCAAGACCTTTGGGAGGCTGAGGCGGGCAGATCACCCAAGGTTGGGAGTTCGAGACGAGCCTGGCCAACATAGTGAAACCCCATCTCTACTAAAAATACAAAAATTAGCCAGGCATGGTGGTGCACATCTGTAATCCCAGCTACTCAACAAAGGGAGACTGTCTCAAGAAAAAAAAAACATTTGAAGTGGGTTAAAAGATTAGCGAGCATTCTATCTAATGTACCCTTTCAAGTTATCTCTGTCTTTCACTGCTTTTTAGCTAATTTAAAGTTTTATAAATCTTAGAGTACTGGTAATAATAAAAATAACATGCATGAAAACACTATAGAACAAATGAACCTAACACATCCAGAGCACTCCATCCAACAGCGCCAAGATGCACATTCTTCTCAAATGCTCTTGGAATATTCTCCAAGATGGATCACATGCTAGGTCACCTGTTTTGTGAGAGATTTAAGAAGATTGAAATCATTCTAAGGATTTTTTTCTGAACACAATGAAGGAACTAAAAACCAGCGACAAAAGGAAAATGAAAAAAAAAGCACAAATATATGGAAATTAAACAACAGACTTTTGAACAATCATTGGGTCAAAGTAAACATCAAAAAGGAAATTACAAATACTTCAATACAAATGAAAACAAAACAAAACTTACCCAAACTTGTGGGGTGCAGCAAAACAGGTAGTTAGAGAGAAGTTTGTGGAGATACTAAAAGGGAAGTTTATGGAGAAATACCTTCATTAAAAATGAAAAAAGATCTCAAATAAGCAACCTAACTATACATCTCAAGGAGCTAGAAAAAAACAAGTTGAACTAAGCACAAAGTTATTAAAAGGGAGGAAATAATGAATATTAGAGCAGAAATAAATGAAATCAACAATAGAAAAATAATTTAAAAAGTCAATAAAACTGAGTTGGCTTTTTGAAAAGAAACAAAATTAACAAACTCTTAGGTAGTCTAAGAAAACAAGAGAGAAAGATTTTAATAAATAAAATAAGAAATAAAAGAGAAGACATTACAACATTTACAACAGAAATTAAATAAATTATATATATAATAAGAATTACTATGCATAATTATATGACCACAAATTAGACAATCTAGAGAAAACAGAAAAAATCCTAGACACATACAATCTACTAAGACTAAATTAATAAGAAATAGGCGGGCTGTAATTCCAGCCCTTTGGGAGGCCGAGGTGGGCTGATCACCCTGAGGTCAGGAGTTCAAGACCATCCTGGCCAACATGGAGAAATCCCATCTCCACTAAAAATACGAAAATTTGTTGGGCATGGTGGCATGTGCCTGTAATCCCAGCTACTCGGGAGGCTGAGGCAGGAGAATCACTTGAACCCAGCAGGCAGAGATTGCAGTAAGCATTTGGCATTTTGTTTTAAGTGTGATAGAATTAGCAAGGGACGGATTGAATTTTATTTGCCTTTGAAAAAAGATGACAGAGGATGCCCATGTTTACATGGATTTCAGGCAAAAATGGTGGAAGAAATGGCTGTAAGGAGACTATATTTGTCACTTACAAGAGCTATGATTGTAACTTAAGCTAGGGTGGTAATGAATGGAAAGAAGTAGTCTGATTGCCTATTTTGAAAGAAGGATCATCAGTGTTAATGAATGTGATGTAAGAAAGAAAGAGAAAGGATTCAACAATGATTTCTAAATATTTACTCTAACTGGGTGAATGATGGAGATATTTATTAGGAGATTGATGAATTTAAAAAGGTGTGTGGCGGTAATAAGAGTTTTGTCCTGGCTTTGTTAAACTTGAGATACACATTTGACTTCCAAGCATGGATGATGACTAAGTAATTGAATAGGAGTGAGCAGCTATGGACAAAGATGCACAAGTTGTGAATAAAACTTCTCACTATTGTGAAAATCAATACTGTATAAAAGAAAGATCAAGCCAGGAGCAGGGAAAATACGACTCAGGGAGTGAAAACAGAGACAGAAAGGAAAAAGGCACAGTACTAAGTCTTGGTACAACTCAATGTTGATGATTCATCAAAGCATACTGAGGAAGGCTTGACAGTGAAGTCGGAGGACAGGCAGGAAGGTAAAGTGTCCCGGATGCTGAGCGAAGCAGGTATTTCAAGAAGGAAGGAAAGCGTGATTATGTGCCAGTGCTACTGAGAGATCCAAGAAGAACATTTTTGGCTGTGATGATAAGAGATTTCCCCCTCCCTTGTACCTGGTAGAGTTATTGGGATGAAAGTATAATGTGGTGGCCAGGCGCAGTGGCTCACGCCTGTAATCCCAGCACTTTGGGAGACCGAGATGGGCGGATCATGAGGTCAGGAGATCGAGACCATCCTAGCTAACACGGTGAAACCCCGTATCTACTAAAAACACAAAAATTTAGCCAGGCGTGATGGCGGGCGCCTGTAGTCCCAATTACTTGGGAGGCTGAGGCAGGAGAATGGCGGGAACCCGGGGGGTGGAGCTTGAAGTAAGCCGAGATCGCACCACTGCACTCCAGCCCGGGCGACAGAGTGAGACTCTGTCTCAAAAAAAAAAAAAAAAGAAAGAAAGAAAAAAGAAAGAAAGTGTAATGTGACTACAGAGGGCAATTCGGCAGAGATTGTAGACAACACTTCTAGTGAGTTGTGTTTGTACTGCAACATGAACTAGATTAGGAGACAGAGATGGAGGTGGATGTAGTAATTGTTTTTCTTCTGTAAGTAAGAAATATGACAGCATGTTTGTATGCTAATAAGAATAGCCTAGTACACAGGGATGATTTGATAGTGGGTGCTGAAAACTGAGATTTTCATGGGTAACAGTGATGTCTCATGTGGGAGGGGTGGCTGTCAAGAGGTGAAGGTTACTATTGTCAGCAGTAGTAAACCCAAAGAACTGAATAACAAGGGTGGAGGTGGAGAATACCATTGAAATTTTTAGTCACTAAAATTGCCACAGAAGTAGTGCTGGAGAGGGAAATAGTGAACTAAATAATAAAATTTTCAAGAAAGGATGGGGAATGACTTGGAGGTTATTGGATAACCAACAAAGCATAGGATGTATCAGTGGTGTAGTGTGAGGTTGTGTCTTGTTAAGTGAATGGCATTTTCAAGCAAAGAAGTTTTCAAGGGAAAAGAAGGAAGACATCTACCTCAACTTCAACATCCTTACTAGAAGAAATGTCAGTATAGTCTCTGTTGGATGGGGTTGCAGCCAGGTTTGAGATAGAACAAGCTGGTGACAGCAACACTAAGACAGAGGTTGGGAATTCCATTTTATCAGTGATAGCCCATGTAAGTTTGGGAGGGCACATTGCAAGGGTTTGAAAAATGAGAAAAGTGGAATCCCACATGTATTTAGTTCAGTGCCTAAGTAGAGACTTGGGAACAAAGTCCCAATGAGACACAATTATTGGTAGAACAGGCAGATTCCTACCTTCTTTTATGTCTGTGGTCTCAGTGTAATTTTTAACAGTGTTTCCTTGCACCGTCCTTTTTTTTTTTTTTACTATAAATTTAAGGGGAACAAGTGCAGTGTTGTTACATGGACATATTGTGTAGTAGTGAAGTCTGAGCTTTTAAAGTAATCATCACCTAAATACTGTACATTGTAGCCACGAAGTAATTTCTCGTCCTTCACCCTCCTTCCACATTACCATCTTCAATAACTATTATTCCACCCTCTTGCCCTGATTTGGAAACCAAATTATAAAATGACCGTATTTTTTTCTTTTCTTTTTTTTTAATATACTTTTAAGTTCTGGGATACATGTGCAGCACATACAGGTTTGTTACATAGGTATACACATGCCATGGTGGCTTGCTGCATCCACCAACCCATCATCTATATTAGGTATTTCTCCTAACGCTATCCCCCCAACCCCTGACAGGCCACAGTGTGTGATGTTCCCCTCCCTGTGTCCATGTGTTCTCATTGTTCAACTCCCACTTATGAATGAGAACATGTGGTGTTTGGTTTTCTATTCTTGTGTTAGTTTGCTGAGAATGATGGTTTCTAGCTTCATCCATGTCCCTGCAAAAGGACATGAAATCATCCTTTTTTTATGGCTGCATAGTATTCCATGGTGTATAAGTGCCACCCACATTTTCTTTTTTTCTTTTTTCCTTTTTTTTTTTTTTTTTTTTTTGAGCCAGAGTCTCGCTCTGTCACCCAGGCTGGAGTGCAGTGGCACGATCTTGGCTCACTATAACCTCCGCCTCCTGGATTCATGCCTTTCTCCTGCCTCAGCCTCCCGAGTAGCTGGGACTACAGGCACCCACCACCACGCTTGGCTAATTTTTTGTATTTTTAGTAGAGATGGAGTTTCACTGTATTGGTCAGGATGGTCTCGATCTCCTGACCTCGTGATCCGCCTGTCTTGGCCTCCCAAAGTGCTGAGATTACAGGCGTGAGCCACTGCGCCTGGCCAAGTGCCACATTTTCTTTATCCAGTCTATCATTGATGGACATTTGGGTTGGTTTCAAGTCTTTGCTATTGTGAACAGTGCTGCAATAAACATACTTGTGCATGTGTCTTTTTAGTAGAATGATTTATAATCTTTTGAGTATGCACCCAGTAATAAGTGAGTGAGGTGGGGATACAATCCAGATGGGATTTGTGCTGATATTCTCTTAGAAATGAGTGGGTAATCAGCTCTAATTACAACTTCTTTTTTATGATTTGTCCTGTCAGTGGCTAGTTTGCAATTAATAGTCTTATAGTATCAACACTAAGGAAGGGGCAGTCTCAGAAAAAGCACATGGAGTACTGGGCTGTCCCTTGTGTGCTGTGATAGTCAGTGTAGGTAAGTCTGGTGCAGGTAGGTGTACTAGTCTTACTAGGAATTTATGACAATTGAATGATTGAGTTGATATTACCTTTTAAAAAATGGTTTATCTGTAAGATTCTTTACTTGCTTGAAATGTTTTCTTATATTTTATCTGCTTCATAGAGACTATAATTAGTTGATTAGTATCTTCCCAAAATTCATGTCTACCTAGAACCCCAGAATATGACTTTATTTGGAAACAGAGTCTTTGCAGATGTACTTACTTAAGAAGAGGTCAGGCTGGATTAGTGTGGGTTCTAAACCCACTGACCACATCTTTATAAAATAAAGAAGGCGAATATTCAAGAGATAGAGACACAGAGAAAAGGTCATTTGAAGATGAAAGTAGAGATTGGCATGATGCAGAAGCAAGCCCTGCAATGCAAGGATTCTTAGGAGCCAACAGAAGCTAGGAAGAGGCAAGGAAAGAATCATCCCTAGAGCCTACAAAGGGAGCATGACCCTGAATGCACCTTGACTTTGAACTTGCCTACAGAACTATAAAAGAATAAATTTCTGTTGTTTTGCGGTAAGATATTTGGGCCCCCTAGGAAACTAGTATAGAGATCAAGATAATTTTTTTATTTGGTCAAATTATTTGAATCCACATCCTTTATTAGACAGGCTCTCTGTCTCAAGGTGAAAGGCAAGAGTTATATTTTCATATCTGTAAAGAAATTGCCAAACTGTTATTTTTAAAGTAGTCTCCATTTCACCTTGCTATCTTCTGGAAAATGATTTATGGTGTAAACCCAGCATGTTGCTAGGTGAATTCAGTGTATTAATTAAGTTTCTTTCAGATACACCTTTTAAAAAAAAGACTTATAGTCAGTAATTCTTACATAATAGACATTTACTGCATACTATGGGTTTTGGGATAAATTAAAAGCTAAATGCTATAGAATGGGGAAATTTTTACTCCAAATATCACCTGAATGATGGTATTTATAAGCCAATAAAATTTAGAGTTCTAATCCTAAATAAGTAACTATTCCTTGACACTGCTAAATAAGGAAAACAGAGTGTTCTTTTAATTACAAGAATATTTGCTTCTGAAAATCAGAGCATACTCACTTATAGGGGGTGGAGTTCTTGAGGGTATAATCAAGAAAATATATTCAAGAGCTATTGCAATTTGTAGGCAATGTGTCAATCAAATCAGAAAAAAACATGAAAATGTAAAACACGCCAATGCTAGAGGTGTCATAATGTAGTTGTCAAGAAAAGTGAGATTCCTGACGTGTTTTAATCCCTCTAGCAAGCAACCACATGTGTCTAAATTCAAAAGATCTGACAAAGTACCACAGGTAATAAGATTAAACAAAATGGAAAAATAATTAATGACATGTCAGAAAATTCACCTTGAGAAAGGAACATCAATTTGGGGATTAGGGTCAGAAGTATAAGAAGGAAAAGGTACCTCAATAGGGCATACTAGTGCTATCTTGAACAATGACTTAATGACATCGGGTGTTGACTTATTAAATAGATGCTGAGTAAAAATAATTCTTAGAAAATATAATTATATTTTCTGTCTCTTTATGTTATGAACTTTCATTACAACCGTAAGTAAGCAATAAGGGTTCTAGTTATTAAGATTGTGACTTTTTGTAAGATAGTCAAATGTCTATAGCCAAATGAATTTATTGATGTAAATATACATTGTATGAACTGGCATATTACTTTAAAAATTACAATTGAATTTATAACACAAAAGTAAAGAGGACTGATTCCATAACAGCAAATGACTAAATAAGCCTCATTTTCTACATTGAGCAAACTCAGAGTAAATATTACCACAACTATGGAGAACAGTTAGAGAAAGAAGTGGTAAAGAAAAGGGGAGTGATAGATAACTTGAAAATAATAAGATTCATTTACTCTATAGTCCCTATTGTTCTCATCTAACATTCAATTAACAAGTTTTTTTGAAACTTTTCTCACATTATTAAGAAAAAGATCACATAATTATGTGTCTGGGCATCTATTCACACACAGATAAAGATGTAAACTAATTGTACTCTGAATTAGAAGAAATTCTTACAGCAACTCCTACAGCATATTTTGATAAATTAAACAAACCACATACTATATTATAAATATTTATTCCCTCCATGGGACTTGTGACTCTAAAAACTTTTTATATTTTTCTATTCATATTTTTATTTACTTTAAAAAATTTTAATTATTTTTGAGTACCTGGTAGTTGAATATATGCATGGGGTACATGTGATGTTTTGATAAAGGCATACAATGGGTAATGATCAAATCAGGGTAATTGGGGTATTCATTGCCTCAAACCTTTGTCTTTTTTTTGTATTAAACACATTCCAATTCCACTTTTCATTATTTTTTATTATTTACTTTTTTATTTTTTGAAGCAAGGTCTCACTCTGCCACCCATGCTGGAGTGCAGTGGTGCAATCACGGCTTACTGCAGCCTTGACCTCCTGGGCTCAAGCAATCCTCCCACCTCAGCCTCCCTAAGAGCTGGAAGGACAGGCACACACAACTACACTTGGCTAATTAAAAAAAAAATTTGTAGAGATGGGGGCTTCTTATGTTGCCCAGGCTGGTCTGCAACTGCTGGGCTCAAATGATCCTCCCACCTTGCCCTCCCAAGCGTTAGGATTTCAGGTATAAGCTACCATGCCTGGCCAAGTTATTTTTAAATATACAATAAGTTATTGTTAATTTAATTTTTATTCACCATTTAATTAATGCAATAGATATTTTTTGACCACTTACTAAATGTTTAACATCCTTCTTCGTTCATGGACTACTTCAGTAAAAAAGTAGTTTCCTATTCTCTAGATCTTAGATTTTAAAGTCACTGTTTTGAGAGGGATGCTTGGGAGTACAGCTTGATCTACTTCAGACTGTAGTGAGACCAAGCAATAAAATTTATTGTGAAATTTCAGGGTAGTTTATTATACTAACATATATTCCCTACCCTGGTCAATATATGAATGCAGAGAATTTTTAACCTATAATTTTATAACCAACCAAATTCTTGTTTAAGGATGACAGTTTAATAATAAAAAAAATCATTGGTTATGTTAGACATCTGAATGATTAGCAAACAGAAACTCATTTTGAAAATACTCTTGAATGGAGTTTTAAAATAGCTAAATTCCAGTGAGCCAAGATCGCACCACTGCACTCCAGCCTGGCGACACAGCGAGACTCCGTCTCAAAAGAAAAAAAAAGCTAAATTCAAGAAATGTTAATAGAGATATGGGATTGAAGTTTAATCAAAGGGTTTATGAACACTTACTGCTGTCCAAAAGACTCATTCCAAAGCAAGACATTCCACAACAAACTAGAAAACAAAATGTGGATAATATCAGTATGGTAGTGATAGGCAAAATGAGAACAAGTTCTAGTAACCATATTGTTGTACAATATATATATTGATAAGGATAATAAATTAGTGGGTAAGTATAACTATAAGTGTTAAATTAAGAGAAATAATCGGGCTGGGTGCAGTGGCTCATGTTTGTAATCCCAGCACTTTGGGAGGCCAAGGCTGGTGGATTGTTTGAGCCCAGGAGTTTGAGATCAGCCTGGGCAACATAGAGAAACTCATCTCTATAAAAAATAAAAAATTTAGCTGAGTGTGGTAGTACATACCTGTAGCCCTAGCTACTTGGGAGGCTGCGATGAGAGGATTGCTTGAGTCTGGGAGGATGAGGCTGTGTGGTGAGCTGAGTGATCATGCCACTACACTCCAGCCTTAGTGACAAAGTGAGACCCTGTCTTAAAAAAATCAGTCAATAAATAAAGCAATGATCAACATCAATAATCGAGAAAAAATTATATAGATTTTAAGACAGACAAAACTACAGCCAGCCAATAGATAAGGAAACAAGGAAGAAGCAGAAACAGTGATCAAAAGTAAGAACTCGTATGCCAGCACTTACAGTAAATACAGAACAAACAAATTTGTTAGGTAAAACAGAAGTCTCTCATTTTAGTTTAAAAAGATTTACCAATATGTTGAATAGTTTTGTCAAAAGAAAAAAAAATCCAAGGAATAAAACTGGAAAATTGAAAATTTGTAATATAGGATAAAAATAGCAAACATGAAAGAAAAAAATCCTGAGTTTCTAATTGTTACAGATAATAATATTTTTTCATATAAAAATCAGTGAAAGATAATGAAATAGAAAATAGTAAAAGAAACAACTGGAAAAGCACATAAAACCGTCATCAACCTAAAGGCAAATAACAAAATATCATCTATCAAGCATAAACTGACTGAGCTCCAGGGAAAAACAAATAAACCAAGTGTTCTGAAATAGTTTCAAATATTTAACACACTGCTCTCAGAAACTAGTGCATAGTGAAGATGAAAAAAAAGCTGGAAAGATCAAAGATATGAATAACAGTGTGAGATTAATCTTTTAGTTTTATTTACAATTCTATACTTGCTAATAATGTATTTTTCCTCTCAGACACTAGTTTTTATTTCTAAGTTCAATTGGGTCATTTTTATATCTTCATTGTCCACTTAATATGTTCAGCATTTTACCTTTATCTTCAACAAACAGAATATAGTTATAATAACTGTTTTAATCTCCTTGCTTATTAAATCTATCATCAGTTACATACCTACTATAGTTTAGATAGAATCATTTTTTGTCATTATAGAGATTCTTCCTGTTACTTTCCATGTGATACAGTTTTTGATCAAATGCTAAACATTTGATCAAAAACTATATGTTACATTTGTGGTACAGAGTATTTTTTCATTGAAATAAATATTTTTAGTTTTGTTATGAGATGCAGTTAAACTAATTGCAAACAATTTTATCTTTTCAGGTCTTTTTTTTTTTTAAGCTTAATCCAACTTACAGCTGTAATCAGTCTATGGTTCCCCGATAGTGAGTCAAAACCCTTTTTGGTAGTCTAATTGATATCCCTGACTTATGAGGTTTCCCATCATGGTTGTTGGAAGCAGGCACTATTCCTGGCCCTTTATGGAATAGCAGGAACTATTCCAGGCCCGTGCCTGAGCATGGTTTCTCTAATCCTTTTGGATTGTTCTTTTCATGAATTCAGGAAAGCGCCATCTCTTCCATTTAACTTCTCTTGGGGTTGCCTACCCTTCACTTTAATTTGGAAATCTTTTTAAGACAGTGAGCTAGGGCCATCAAAAAATAAGACTCACCTCATTTGTTTCCATCTTTCAGGGATCACTATTTTTCATTGACCAGCATCCAAATATCTTGGATGCTACAATTTCATATATTTCCTCTGGCTTTATGGTTGTTTGAGTCAGGTGAGTTAACCTGGTCCCTGGTACTATACCTTGTTCAGCAGCTGGAAAAATGAGGATAATACTATGTTTATTTAGAAAACATTATTTCTTGCATTATTTTTATTTCCTTTCATTTGAAATGATTTGATATTTAGAAAGTTTGTAAAACTAGTACAACCTTTCCTTTTTTAATTTGGAAGTTACCATGACGTCATGCTTCACTGCCTCTGAAAATCTGAGTGTGTCATTTCTACGAGCAAAAATATATTCTTGCATAGCAATAATAAAACATCAAAACCAAGAAATAGATATGATGCTTTATTATAATAATAGCAGCATATTCTGTTTAAGTTTTCAAATTGTGCCAATAACTCATTTATAGAAAAACGTGCCAATTGGGTTTATTTCTGCATTTAATTGTTATATGTTTTTAATTTCTTTCTGTCCTTGATTTCACCCTATTCTTGACTTTCATAACTTTTATGCTTTTAAAGATGATAAGCCATTTATTTTGTGAAATATGTTTCAATTTGTATTATGATTTTCCTCATGATTTGATTCAAGTTATTCACATTAGGCAGGAAAATCAAACAAATAATGTTGTGTCCCATTCATTGTAATATATCAGGTGGTAAATAATTTCAATTTGTCCTATTATGAATGAGTAAACATTCATCACTTGTGTTAAGATAGGATTTTCCAGGTTCTTCCATTTTAGGTAACCTATTTTCCCTTTCAATTAGTAAATATTTTGTAAGGAGGTACTTTGAGACTACGTAAATTTCCTGTACTGATCAAACATACACCCACTAGATTTAACACCACAGATTTTTCTTGGCTGAATTAATTTTTACCATAATGATTTCTGCATCGTGATTATTCTAATGTTGTCATTTTTTTACACAGTTAGTAGTTAGGATTATACAACATGGAAGAGCTTCTCTTCTTCCATTTATTTGTGACTCTGTTTTTCAAACCAATAAGGACTCATGATTTTCTACTTTCTTCAATGATTTTGAATTCATTCCTATTATGACTTAATTTGCTGTTCAAATTATGCTGGATTTGGTCAGTGTGTTCCCTTTCAAGACTATTCTATAGAGGCCAGTCATATATTTTTCTTGTTCCAATCCTGAAATTATCCATTTATCATAGCCTTGGTGCCTTTAGTGGAGAATAAGACTTAGAAGCAAAGATTTATTTGCAAGTGTGATCATTGCTATAGGGGTGTTACTCTTCCTAGGCTTTCTTAGAAGAAAGAGTTGGAGAATATATATGTGTATCTACATGTATATCTCTCTCTGTCAATCAATTTAGTTATCACAATCCATAAATTCACTCCGATACTTCTAATTTGAATCAAAAACCAAAGAGTCAATTTTTGTTTCTTCCTTTCCGTGTTTGTATTTTTCTTCTCTCACAGTAAAAAACCTGATTCTGATATTCTGATATCATATATATACATGCATATATATATGGGTGTATATATCATATAGATGTATATATCATATATATACAGATACATTCATATATATGATATACACATATACATACATTCATACATATAGATATATTTAATCACATGCACCTTCTTCCCAATACAACCAATCTTCCATCACTGCCTGCATCTCCTCCCCCACCTGCACACACAAACTGATGTCTTCTTCATCCTACTCAGGACTTTCACTCTTGCAGCCGCCGCCAAATTCCTGGATGGCCACTCTTCGTCCTGCTCTGTTTCAATCACCTTGCAACTGGTTGTTAAAATGCCCTGCTCACTCTGCTTGAGCTCTGAACTCCACTGTCGACGACTGGCATTGAAGATGTTCTTTTCTGAGGCAGCCTTTTCACCACATTCAGGCCTTTACTTTGAATACCAGGCTGACACAGTTGCCATCGCTTCCTCAAACAGGGTCCATCTTCACTCTAATACAGCTCCAAACCTCACCCAACCTGCTGCCTTCCCTCCTCCATATGGAGAGCCACCATACTCGACACCCCTAAGGAATACCTTTTAGACTGACTTTTTCAGGAAAAGAGGAAAGAATTAAGGAAAAAAAGAAGATAGCAAGGTACAGAAGGAAGGAGGGATAGGGGAAGAAGATAGTATGTTTATTTTAAAAACATTAGCCTAGTCAGTTGCTTTAAACACTCATGTAAACATTTAAGTCATATTGACCAAAGAGCTCTGAAGCTAAAAATAACTACAATACTCTCTCAAGTACACTGAGTGTTTATTCCATCCATTTTCCAAAGAGGTCCTGAAGTAGTCTCTTTGAATATTTATTCTACATCTCCAATAACACATTAAGATCTGTAAAAAAATCTTCTTTGTATCCGTACAACCTAACAGAGATACATCAAATACATGAAGAAGAAGAAAAGGAGTACACAGTATTGTTAAGTAGAAAGAACACTCAAACAATATTATATAAAGTTATTTATTGTGTCATTGAACAAGAAAATGTGAAACCACAAAACCACTGGAAGGGCAGGGATGTGGTCACATTCTGACACTATCCATAAGCAAGGATTCAACTGTTGCTGCATATTTTACCTCCATTTTCATATTTCCAGCTCTCTTCATTTTGGCATTAAATTTTTCTTACTAAAGACAGGTTCTTTTTCACATCTCAGAAAACCTATATTCCTGAATTATTTTTTCCATCCAAGAACCCAAACCACAAAGAAGAGAACTCTTAAACTCATTTTCTAATTTGAAAAATTAAAAGGCTAATTGCTCCAGCTAGATTCAGGTAATTATTTCTGACCACTGTGGCCTAGGTTTTACAAACAGATTGGCCTCTAAATTAATAAGATAAACAAAGAAAACAGAAGTTCCCAGAAGAATACATAGGGGTGGATGCAGGTAAGATATCCCTCAGATGTCTACTCAAGGGCTTTTCATTTCCTGCTACAGAAATTAAATTAGATAACTAAGAGTATTATTCTTCATATAAAACTATCTTGAAATAGCTCCATTCAGAAGCTGTGCTCATTCTCATTCTAACTCATTAACTTATGCTTTCAAATTGATTGAATACCCATTAAACCATATTTTCCAATATATTTCAAATTATTCTCTCCTGTTTCATTGCTCTGTAACCATTGAACCAATATTGTTGTTAAACTAAGATTTAGAATTCATAAGAATTTCTTCACAAAGATGTTTATGCTTAGTCTTCCTTAGAAAATATTTTTTGCTTTAATTATGACTCTGAAATTAAGTAATCGAGAGCTTTCAAAGATTAATCAGTGCTTTCTATCTAATTATCTTCAATTTAAAACGATCCAGAAGCTCTGTGGTCTTCATGAAGTCCAGAAACTTACAATAACATCCAAAAGCTTCAACAATCTCTAGTATTAACTTCAAATCTTAAAAAACAACTAAGACCTAGCCTCTATTTCCTTAAAATAAATTCCTTTTTTTCTACTTCCACTTCATCAATTTTGTTTTGGTAACTTGAATCCAGAGAAGGTAATTTAACTTAAATAAATAGTTCCCATTATACCTGGGCTGACTTTGTAGATTCAAGACTTATAAATATTCTTCTAAGACAACTTGAATTGGTAACCACCCAATGGGTTCACCTTGCTTGCTGCCTAGACAGAGCTGATTTATCAAGACAGGGAATTGCAATGGAGAAAGAGTAATTCATGCAGAGCTGGCTATGTGGGAGGCCGGAGTTTTATTATGATTCAAATCAGCCTCTCCTAGCATACAGGGATCTGAGTTTTTAAAGATAGTTTGGCAGGTAGGTGTTGGGAAGTGTGGAGAGCTCAGGTTGGAGATGGAATCACAGGGGCAGTGGAAGTGAGATTTTCTTGCTATCTTCTCTTCCTGGGTGGTATTGCAGAACTGGTTGAGTCAGATTACCAGAGTGATGTCAGGTGATCCATCAGAGTGCAGGGTCTGCAAAATATCTCAAGCACTGATCTTAGGTTTTACAATAGTGATGTTATCCCCAGGAACAATTTGAGGAGGTTCGGACTTGCAGCCAGAGGCTGCAGGAGCCCTAAACAGTAATTTCGAATGTTGTAGCTAATGTGTTAGTCCTACAAAGGCAGACTGGTCCCAAAGCGAGAAGGGGGTCTTTTCAGGAAAGGGCTATTATCAATTTTGTTTCAGAGTCAAACCATAAACTAAATTCATTCCCTAGGTTAGTCCGGCCTATGCCCAGGAATGAACAAGGACAGCTTAAAGGTTAGAAACAAGATGGAGTTTGTTAGGTCCGATCTCTTTCACTGTCATAATTTTCTTAGTTACAATTTTTGCAATGGCAGTTTCAGCTTGTGTTTAAAATTCTGCCTTCTGGGTATTATTCTGAACTCTTATCTGGTATTTTAAGACCTGATTTATGATCCAGAATAAAGACTTATGTCTAATTCTCATTATTGCAGCCTCCCGTTGACCCTGCCTTGTCCCTTGCAGCTCTCAGTGATTCTCTCTCAGAACAATCATTTAAACCTAAAAGACCCCAGGACAGAAAGGGATATCTCATTTCCAAATGAGGGGCAAAAAATAAAGCTCTATGTAAACGTAGGTGAGTTTTCATAACACTAAAATGCTATGAGAACTAGGATAATTTTTAGGAAAAAAATTAAAAGGAAAAAATGATAAATAAGAAAATTTTCGAAAAAAAGATGTAAGAATAAGCATTTTCATGAAAATATTATCTATACTTGACTTTCATGATTTTCTTTTTTAAAATGTATTTATTGAAAATTGAGTCTCTCCTATTGAGTAAAAAATTAAGGAGAAAAAACCGATTAATTTGTTGGTGAATATACATATTAAATGGGAGCGAGTAATATTTATTTGATAATTTGCAATTTTCTAATGTCTGGTGACATGTTCTCAAAGAAGAATACAATTATCTCTGATTATATTGAAATGCTAATAAAACACAAACTTAGTAAGTTAGATGCCATTAGAAAGCAATCATCCTTATTTGTTTTAAAAGCTGTTTACATATTTACATGATATTTCCCTTCCATTTTACAAGGGAAATTAAATGATTTCATAAAACAGATGAATCAACTTTGATACATTATAACAATTTCTTATTTTAAAATATGATATCAAAAATATGGTATCAAGTGTCCAAGGCTCTCAGCCAAGTTTGGAAGTCCTCAATATGGGTAGGCGCTGTTATAAAAGTATTATGGAAATAATGCTAAGTGACTCATGATTTACTTGGAGTTTTCTAGCCAAATTGATCCCATGACATTTACCTTAAATGTTTTTCTTTCCCCTTCCAAATATAAGTGGTTATTAAGGCAATTATTAGCAGAATAACTATTTATTGAACATTTTATAGAAAACACTGTGCTGGTCAATTTGAAAAGGGAAGAAGTCTGAAGTGAATTAATTCATCTAAATACACGTTGATAACAATATTACAGAGAATGAAATGAGAGGGTTTTAAAGAATCTGCAGACACATTGCTTTAAGAAATAAGAGGAAGAATAACACAACTGAAGAAGACAAAAGTGAAAAAAAAGCAAGTTTAGTGTTGGTCTTTGAAATACAAATGAGATTTCTGGGCAAGAATATGTTAAGATAGGAATTTCTGGCAGGACTGATGTTTCAAATGCGAGAAAATACAAACAGAGCAAGGATAACAATAAGTAAATCCTTTTGACTAGAGTGTAAGATGATTGAATAAAATGCAAGAAGGAAAATAAAACGCAGATAAACAGGGGTTCTTTTATCCTAAAAACACTCTTCAATTTGTAGCTATAACACTAAAAGAATGTTTTAGACTAATAGTTGATAAAGTATGGCCTGGCCAAATCTGGCTCACTACCTGTTTTTTGTTTGTTAGTTTTATTTTGTTTTGTTTGGAGCACAACTATTTACTTACATATTGCACATAGCTGGTCTGGAACTACAATGGCAGACTTGAGTAGTTGCAATAAAGACAATATGTCCTGCAAAGCATGAAATATTTACTATCTGGCCCTTTAGAGAAAATGGCTGTTGAACAGTGTCCTAGATTTCTGTGCAATTGTAAATGATGGACTTGGTAGTAGATGTCAGAATAGCTATGTGGTGTGCTGAAGTTACAGCATAAGATTAAAAGCCAATCCATGAAAATTATTATGCAATACACTATGATAGCATTATACATCCCTTAGCAAGTTTGTCATTTTTTTCAGCACCAAACACAAAGAATGGCTTTAAAGAAGAATCACACAATTGTATTCTCATGCATTCTCAACCACGTTTGAGTCCTAAAAGATGCCTTCTAAAAAAGAGAATGCTGACTCTTTTACTGTCCAGATTTTAGAGGTCATAGAAATACTATTATTTCCAAATAGCTATATCATGACTTTTACATTAATTTAAAGATAATAAAGGTAGATGTGAAAAAGAAAATTATTTTTCAAAAGTAGTGTCTCCTCACTTGCCGTTAAAGTAAAGATCGTTTGAACTCTAGATCCTCTAAGGTATAATTTGCACTGGTTGCTTTCGCCTGCTTTGAAAATGTGTCCTTCCCCCAGTGCCGTCAGCTCACTTTGATCATCAGTTCTCACACTTCTGAAAGCTTCCATTCTCACCATGTAGTACTGAATCTTGCATGTGTATAGCACAATTTGGGGATAGGCAGCAATGAGGCCCTGGGGATATTTTCTTTGGGATGCAGAGTTACAGCTCTTCAGAGTCCATTTTCAAGGTGAACTAGGCTCCTGTGGTTACGTATCTCCCTCCTTCAGAACTGCTTCTAGGCCTTAGGTAAGATTGCTTCTGTATCCTTCAGAAGAACCCTGTGGGTTCTACAAAGAAGAGCTTAAAGACTAAAATAATGTTATAGGTTAAATGTGTTTTTAGGAAGTTTATGTAAGGGGCAGAAACATTAAAAACAAAACAAAATCACCATCATAGGTACAAGTAGTTGGGTTTGACCATACTAGACTGAAATAATTCTCTCAAAGCCTATTTGAACTCAATTAAAAGATCTCATTGTTATTTTCAGTGTTTTAAGAATTGCTCCTTTGGCAGTTTGTAGAATGTCAGCAAAATTTAGTAGGCACATTTTGGAGGAGTATATTCTCTCTATGTATATTTATTTATATACACACACATGTAAATATAATATGTATAATAAATATACCAATGATTACTATTATTACAATATGTACTATACTAATATATATTAATATATGTTAGATATGTTAGTGAATACATAATTAGCCAGGTGTGGTGGTACATGCCTATAGTCCAAGCTACTCAGGGTGCTGAGGTGGGAGGCTTGCTTGAGCCCAGGAATTTGAGACTGCAGTGAGCCATGTGTCAGCAACAGAGGGACACACCGTTTCACAGAGAAAACAAAAAAGTAAGCTAGGAATTTATATGGGAAAAATACTAGCAAAGTATTGTGGGGGGCTCAAAAGACAGATTATATTGTTCTAGTTGTGAGTTTATGTTTAGTTGTGAGAATCAGAAATACTTTCTGGGGAAGTTTCATTCTAAAATAAAACTTGGAGGATAAAAGATTTCAGCCAACTATTGGTAGTTGGAGAACCCAGAAAGCATGAGGAAATGCATGACATCAAGAAAGCTCAGAACTCTAACTATTCCTATTTTTACACCTTGTAAAGTAGGCAAGGGCAGTTTTATGAAATAAATGTGGAGGGACTAGATTGGTGTCAAATTGTAGTGGTTGAAATTTGTATGAGGTATTGAAGGGTTTTGAGCAAGAAAGATCTGAATTGTGCTTTAGACAGGTTACTTTGATGAAAACAGCAGGTGAAAAGAAAAAAGAGGGGAGAGGAAAAGAAACTAGAATTTCTAGTTAGTGAGTAGACCATAACAGTACTCCAAAAAAGGAGTAAAAATGATAAATGTAACAATAGCCAAATACTACTGAGTTTTTTATATGATCTAGTTGCCACTGTAAGTTCTACATATATGTTGATTTAATTTATTCTAAAATCAATCATATGACGTAGGTACTATTTTAACCACATTTTACATATGAGGAGTCTAAAACATAAAAAATTACCCTGGTTTGCCTAAGCTTAAACAACTTACAAGTACGTAAATTTGAGAACCTCTGAAGTTGTAAACATTAATTTAGTTAATATTTGTGGACTGGATGAATAAAGGGATTAAGAGTTGGAGCAACATAAGCTACTTATTTTCTTCTTCTTGCCACTAAATTGTTATTGTATTAAACCATATTTTATTAATAAAAAATTAGATGATACTGTTTTTCTTTAAATGTAGAGATAAATTCTCCCTCACAGAAGGGAAAAACACATCCTCACTTCAACCTAAAGAAATAATATTTTGATCTACTTTTGTCCTGTAACACTTCATATTAACTTTTTCAAATATCAATGTTAAAAATAGCGATTTTTTTTAACTCGCCTATATAGCAAGCATTGTCCTTGGTATGGAGAGCATTCTATTTATTTAACTGTTGCTAGGTTAGTAGAATGAAAAAAAGGGAAGATTTGTGTATTAGTCAGTTTTCACACTGCTATAAAGACATACTTGAGACTGGGTAATTAATAAAAGAAAGAGGTTTAATTGACTCACAGTTCTGCATGGCTGGGGAGACCTCAGAAAACTTACAATCAGGGTGGAAGGGGAAGAGGCACATCTTACACAGTGGCAGGCAAGAGAGAGCCAGCAAGAGCAGGGAAAACTGCCTTATAAAACCATCAGATCTTGTAGGAACTCACTCACTATCATGAGAACGGCATGGGGAAAAAAACACCCCATGATCCAATCACCTCCCACCTGCTCTCTCCCTTAGTGCATGGGGATTATGGCAATTACAATTCCAGATGAGATTTGGGTGGAGACATAGAGCCAAACCTATCAACTTGTGTTCCAGTATAATCATTAACTAAATTTATAATCATTTATTCAGCAGGTCATATGAACAGAGATATAAAAGAAAGCTAGCATAATCATCATGCAGTCTACTAATTTTCTTCGTTTTTCTACTGAATTGGTGTTTGCAAATCCTGAAAATTACCATAATGGTAAATTATTGCTTTTCCATTAAAGCACTAGGTTCAATGACCACTTTTAAAAAACTATCTGATTTTAATATTTTTATTCCATTTATGGACTTTTCTAGGAAACCAACATGCTTTTTCAGATCTGACTTCTTTTCAAACAGAATGCTGGTAAAGATAGAGCTAGTAGTAGTGAAAATAAAAACTACTGGATCAAGTGATTTTTTTTAAGTTATAGTTATGGTAAATAATGTGACATTTGCCCATGTTACTCCTGGTGACTTAACTTAGATCTCTATCTATAATAAAGAAGAATTAAAGAAGCACAGATCAAAGAATGTAAGTAGTAGAATGCAACTTCTCTAATGTCACAAATAATTAAGATTTAATAATGAACTTAGATATCTGAGGAATCCTTTTGAGCAATAGAGGATTTTCATTTGTGGAAGAAGGGGTTTTAATATATGAACCAAAGTCAGATAGTTTCATTTTGTCTACCTAATAGCTTATTTTTAAAAAATTTTATGGACTCGGGCTGGAGAATATATCTCAATGATGTTAGAAATGTATTTTACCTATTCACATTCTGACTTCTGAAGTAGGCTGGTTTCCTGAAGATCCTCATCCCACCTTCCCCTCATAGTATGTGTTCAAGGGATCAGATCTATTCCTTGACTCAGGGATTCCTTTGGAAAGAAACAGATGCAGGAAACCACCTGTAATAACTAAAGGACAAGCCAGTGTTTGTTTAGCAGTGAAATGCAGGTATCGCAAGAGGGTGTCAAGTCCACGGATCCTTAATAGGATTATAATGCAAGTACTAGTACTGTCCTATGAAGAACTTCATTGCAGACTCAGGGAGTGTGATGTCAGTACTAATAATTACAACAACATATCTTAAAGGCACTATTCCTTTTGCCAACACGTTCACAATATAAAGACATAGCAGACACTGATTTTGGAGATTTATATTCTGTTGGGAGACAATGCTTGCAATGACTCTCTTAAATTTCTGCAGTTGAGCTAAACAAGAGGCATTGGATGCTTTTGGCAAACTATGTTTTCATGGATGTTTTTAATAGCAGACAGCTTTGAAGACAGAAATAACATCTCCATCCGAGGCAGAGCGCAGACTTGTTTCCTGAAGGGTATAATAAAGATTTTCTCTCCCTTTGGGACAAACTTTAGGCACATTTGCTAGAAGCTCCAAAAGGTCCAGGTTTCTTAAACTCAGGGTTCCTGGACTGTGATACAAATAGACTCCATGTACACTAAGTTTTCCTCCTCACGCCTGTGGAACTTGAGGGCTAAGGGGACCAGTGAGAATATGAAGCTTATGCTGTCTGCTGTTGTCATGATTAACAAAGTACTTTACCTCTGACTCAGCATCCATGAAGCTTGGCCAGACTAACTTTTTATCTTACAGGTTGGAAAAAATTTTAGTCTTAATATTTTTTATTTATTTATTTTGGATATTTTTTCTAATTAGAGAAGCAGTATTTTCTTAGTGCAGAGAATTTGAAAAAGAGATAAAAGAAGAAAAAATTATGATCTCTACAATGAGAAGCATAATAATTTGATTCTAGTTCAAATTTTAATATTTTTATGTGTACACATATATATTAGGTAATCATGTTAATAGCATAAATTGCATTTTCTAAACTGCTTTTGTCCTTTAAATTATATGAATATTTCTGTGTCATTAACTTTTTGAACATGATTTTGAATATCTGCTTAGTATTTTTTCATTACAACTAAACCATTATTTACATAACCATTCTATTATTGAATATTTAGGTTATTTTGAGATTTTAGCTATTAAAAATTATTCTACAGTGAGCATTCTTTTTATACTTTTAATGTGCTTCCTTTATTTACCTTAAAAAATCTACAGGGGAAAATTGCTAGTTTTCAGCAATTTCTTGTTGGATTTCTTTTTCATGTGTACTTTGGTTCTCTCATTACTGAGCCAGAAAATTCATGCAATCAGAACCTGCAAAGAAGGCTATTTCTCTCATCGTTAACCTGATTAGACTCTTTCTCTACCTGGGGTAAATGGCCTTTGTGGTTTTCTTCTTCTGTAAGTGTTGATCTGTTTTACAGATTTCACCAATTATCCTTTCACCTACCCTTCAGTCAGGAAATAACACATGGAGGTGTGTCCAAATTTTTTTCCAATTCTCTGGGCTCTTCAGGAGGTTTCAATGCATTAAAAATATAAAGTCAGACATATGTGGAATGGTGCATTTACTCCAGGGTCTTGTCAAAATCTACTTTTTAATTCCCCAAGTTTTTAACATTTTTAAATAGCTATCATTAATAGGTCAGTTGTGGCAATTTGTTTTCTCATAGCCTCAAAATGGGTAAGTTGTTTATTTTCCTATAATTGATGTTGTGATAATTGTGCTTTATCAAGTTGAATATTTGTTCTAGATAATAACACAAAATCTCCATCAGAAATCTATCTACCTGGGGAGTGCTCTCATTTTGTGAGGTATGATTTAGACCCTAATATATAGGATCTATTTTCACACTTGCATCAAATTCAAAATATCAGTCACTTTGCCTCTTTCCAAATCAAGCTCTATAATATGGCTGATATCATTTTGGTGTAATAGACTGCTTGTCCATAAGCAAATCATACATAAAACTTAAGTTAGATATTTCTTTCTAAAAAGTGAGGAATAGAAAGACTAAGCACCTATTCAGCTTTGTATATTTGCATACCTATATCTTAATGAATATTAAATGAAGTGAATGATTAAATGTCTACAACAAGTAAAGAACAAAAGCTCTTCTCTTGTGGTACCAAATAAATGAACACAATCCAACTTTCTCATTTGTTTGTAGCCTTGTTCAAAGGCTTTGGGCTCTTTCCAGGATTCCCACTTAGAAAAGACAAATAACAAAAAGTAAACAGGCAAATAAAATATATAAAGAAATAAAAGTAAACAAACAAGTATCTCCTGGGTAGATCATGAATTGTTAGCTTTGGGAAAGTAATTCTCTCTGAAAACAATCTCTACTTTTCACATATACTTTAAAAAATGGAGTCTAAAAATTTCTGGTTATTATAATATGAGTAATAAGAATATTTCTTCTTTGTGTCTCATGTATTCCAAAGACTCTGGCACTATAATATATTAAAACATATTTCAAGAATTAATGAATTAATTAGTGTTCTGAATCAAGGAATGATGAATGAATTATGGCTGTATTTTCTTATGATGCTGCAAAATATAAGTGCATTAGGTCAAAGAAAGCATCACACTAAGCAAAGCCAAATAGGCAAGGAAGTTTTTTTTTTTTTTAACTTCTATTTTAGGTTCAGGGGTACATGTGCAGGTTTGTTATATAGGCAAAACTGTGTTGTGGGGGGTTGTTGTACAGATTATTTCATCACCAAGGTACTGAGTACCCAATAGTTATTTTTTTCTGATCCTCTCCCTCCTCCTATTACAGTAGGTAGCTAGTCAGGCATGAGCAGGGCTGGAGAGGGCTCCACCAACACCCCACCAGGAATGTCAGGAGACCATCAGGTGATGGTCAGGTGATTGTTAACTGTCTCTCTAAAATAATAATTGACTTCAGCCAGCACCAGGGAAAAGCAGTCTCCCAATAGATAGAAAAACCTGAAACTGGTGATCGGCAGCTTCCTCATAAGATCTCAGGAGCTGGGTGAGTGGGCTCAAGCATGCGCATTAAGGGAGAAAATGGTGACATTTAACTTTGACCTTCCAGGGATATTGACTGGTAATGGAAGGATGCCTCAAGTGAGCACG
Source organism: Homo sapiens (assembly GCF_000001405.40). Lineage (NCBI taxonomy): Eukaryota > Metazoa > Chordata > Mammalia > Primates > Hominidae > Homo > Homo sapiens. Next base: position 38,055,804 of record NC_000011.10, read on the forward strand.
CATACAACTACAGTAAACACACTGCACATGCTCACCTTCCACGTGCCAGCGGCCATTGCACATGCAGAGAGCCCACGACAAGTGAAGAATCAGGAGAGAAGGGATGCAAGATCCCAGGAGTATGCCAACGTATAAAACCCCAAGTCAAAATGTCAAACTGCACACTTGATCTCTGAAGTCACCCTCTTGGCCTTCTTCCAAGTGTACTTTACTTCCTTTCATTCCTGTTCTAAAGCTTTTTAATACATTTTCACTCCTGCTCTAAAACTTGCTTCAGTCTCTCCTTCTGCCTTATGCCCCTCCATTGAATTCTTTCTTCTGAGGAGGCAAGAATTGAGGTTTGCTGCTAGTAACACTCCCATCCTCCACCCTCAGGTAGTACCCAGTGTGTGTTATTTTCATCTTTGTGTCCACGTGTTCGCATCACTTAGCTCCCACTTGTAAGTGAGAATATGTGGTATTTAGTTTTCTATTCTTGTGTTAGTTTGCTCAGGAAAATGGCCTTCAGCTCTCTCCATGTTCCTGCAAAGGACATGTTCTCATTTGTTTTTAATTGCTGCATACTGTTCCATGACGTATACGTACCACATTTTCTTTATCCAGTCTACCATTGTTGGGCATTTGGGTTGATTCCATGTCTTTGCTATTATGAATTGTTCTGCAATGCATATATGTATGCATGTGTCTTTATGGTAGAACACTTTATATTCCTTTAAGTATATACCCAGTAATGAGATTGCTGAGTCAAATGGTATTTCTGTTTTTAGCTTTCTGAGGAATTGTTATGCTGCTTTCCATGATGATTTAACTAATTTACACCCCCACCAATAATGCATAATATTCCCTTTCCTCTGCAATCTTGCCAGCATCTGTTATTTTTTTGACTTTTTAATATTAGCCATTCTCACTGGTATAAGATGGTATCTCATTGTGGTTTTGATTTGCATTTCTCTAATGATCAGTGATATTGAGCTTTTTTTCATATGCTTGTTGAACACATGTATCAACATGTGGTCTTCTTTTAAAAAGTGTCTGTTTGTGTCCTTTGTCCACTCCTTTTTTTTTTTTTTTTTTTTTTTGAGATGGAGTTTCACTCTTGTTGTCCACTTCATAATGGGGTTGTTTGCTTGTTTCTTGTAAACTTGTTTAAGTTATTTATAAATGCTGGATATTAGACCTTTGTCAGATGCAAAATTTGCAAATATTTTTTTCCATTTGGTAGGTTGTTTATTCCGTTTTTTTTTTTTCCCCGTAGCAGAGGCTCTTTAATTTGATCTCACTTGACAATTTTTGCTTTTGTTACAATTGCTTTTGGTGTCTCATCATGAAGTCTTTGCCAGTTTCTATGTCCAGAATGGTATTGCCTAGGTTGTCGTCCAGGGTTTTTATAGTTTTGGGTTTTGCATTTAAATCTTTTATTCATCTTGAGTTGCATTTTTGCATGGTATGAGGAAGGGGTCCAGTTTCAATCATCTGTATATAGTTAGCCATTTATCCCAGCACCATTTATTAAATAGGGAATACTTTCCCCATTGATATTGTGATAAAGAAAAAAGGCTAGAACTCATTTTGAGCTCAACTCTGCTGAAACCAAAGACAAGAGGTGTTTCTTTTCCTTCCATTTCCTTTTCCTTTTCTTTTCTTTCATCACTTTTTTTAAGTACTGGGTTGCACTAGTGGAAAACTTAGGGGGAGGTTGATCCAGGGATATACTGAGCACTATAAATTATTCCCGAGTTTACTCATGCTTTTCTCTGTGATTAGGCCTTTCATGTTTGCTAATTGGAGCCCACTGAAATTATGTTGCTACCATAACAGAGACTGGGAGGTAGTGATCTTGTCTTCTTTGATGATTCCACTTCTAAGAGATCATTTCTAGGTCATTCAGAAAGATATCCCAAGGTCATAAAACTGGTAAGAGTCATATAAAAATATTTACATTATCTCAAAGAGGCGGAGAAAAAATTTACAAGTTTTATAAAGTAAATGCTTAAAGTAAAAGGAGGTCAGGGGCCTGTAGTCAGGAAGAAGACTATCTGAAGTTTAGTCAAGCTGAGGACAGTGTTTAAGACCCTCTTGATTACATGTAATCTCTTAATAGAAATGAAATATTAGAGAAAATTCCTTCTTCCCATGTTTGCAGAACTGGTAACTTTTCATTGAATGAGTATTCTTGGAATGTCAAATGAGAGAATGTTATTACATGCATACAGCATGAATTAAAATAACTATCAAATCAAAAGTCACTTATGTGTTATTTAATAGAATAGGAAGCTTAGTGCATGTAGTGTCTCTCTGTCTTTAATAAAATGGTATTAAACTCTAATCCCTCAAGCTTTGATTTATTTTATTCTGCTCCATTGCTCCTGTTGGATGATAGCCACGCTGGATTGTAGCTACTGCTGATTTTCCGTGCTACAATGTCTTTTCTCAGATTTGAAGCCCAGGGCATCAGAGGTAAATGAAAATCAGGCCATTTTTGTCAAAACTCTTCATCGTTGTCACTATTGCATTTCATGCTTTGTCTCTTCACGACCCAAGAATCTGGCAGTGATTTCTGTATGGCTTTTCTGCCTTTCTCTTTAACAAGAGCTAACTTTCTGCACCTTCTTGGTCATAAGAATACATACTCAAATGCATAGCAGATGGGGGAGAAACTGTAACTTCGATAGTCCCAGAATGGTTACACATTATTAAGAATGAAAGAGACAATACTTAAAGAACAAAAGTTCATTCTAGGATTATGGCAATTCATTTTATAAATGAGATTTCCGTTTTAGTTTATTTACATTTTCTTTGTATATGTGAAATTAATTTAACCATCATATGATTTGGTTTTAAAACTACAATTAGCATACATTTATAACATCATTTTCCAATAAAATGAGAATACTTTTTTTTGAGACGGAGTCTCGCTCTGTCACCCAGGCTGGAGTGCAGTGGCACAATCTCGGCTCACTGCAAGCTCCAGCCGCCGGGTTCACGCCATTCTCCTGCCTCGGCCTCCTGAGTAGCTGGGACTACAGGCGCCCGCCACCACACCCAGCTAATTTTTTGTATTTTTTTAGTAGAGATGGGGTTTCACCGTGTTAGCCAGGATGGTCTCGATCTCCTGACCTCGTGATCCACCCGTCTCGGCCTCCCAAAGTGCTGGGATTACAGGCGTGAGCCAAAAATGAGAATGATTTTTAGATCTTTGAGACAACATATTGTCAATGAGTAAAATTTATTGTTTTAAAAATAAAAGGGTTATAGCCTCAATTTAATACCTGTACAATAGGAATCATACTTTTTGGATGATTATACGTTGTTTCACAAAGGAGTAGAGAAAGAAAAAAAAGCATATTTAAAATAGACCCATAATAAAATTGTAAAAAGATTAAAAATTTTTACTTAAATTTTAACTGTTCACAGAAATATATTTAAAATATTAATATTGAGAATATAAAAATATCTTAGGCTATCTAACTTACTTTTAAATACATTTAAATGATTAACCAAGGGCCACAGCATTTATTATCTGATTATGGCCACTTTATCAGAGGGAAAACAGCTTGCCTCTCAGATAAAAGTATGTGCTTTCCTCATTTTATGAAAGCAACTGCTTCTAGCTTTTTAAAAACTTATCCTGTGTTGCCTGTCTCTTGTCATTCTAAAAACATAAGTAATTTTTTCCTTTAGCAAAGTTACAAGCATACACTCCTGACTGAACTGATTTGCAGAAATAAAGTTAAACCGGTTGTTGTATAGAAAGCTTTTAAGAACAGTTCTTTATGGATAAGAAAACCTAACTGGAGATATGCATTATCAACTTTATCATGAAATGGAAATTTCGATAGAGTTGTAAGTGCCAGAATGTGGCCATAAATTCTTGACATATATCCTTACTCTGGGTCAGAGAGAGTGCATGACTCCTAACATAGCCAAAGAACATCCACTTGATAGAAATTCAAATAAGAACTAGACTATTGCATTACATGTAAAATAAAATTATCAAATCACTTATAAATTGAAATTATTTAAGACCTTTCAGTTGCTGTATAGAAAAATCAATTCAATTACATTCATTCACTTATTTTTTCAATCAACAAAAATAAAATTGAAGTAGTGTTCACAGCAGAATTATGAAGACTTCATCAAATTCAATTTGAGAGTTCTAAGTTTGAATTCTAGCTATAAATTACGGATGGTGTTTTTGTGAGAATCGGATAACACAATGCATTGTCCACTGATATGTAGTGAGATGTTTATTTCTGCTGTGAATAAGTTGAAGCTTGCATGCGAGTGAGTGACTCCAGGATGTAGCTCTTTGGTATTTTTTTGTGTTCTCCAAGATAGCTGAAATCTATTCTACTGTGCTTCATCCCCTGGCATTATGAAAAACTGTCACCATTTTCTACTGTTTTGCGGGGCATATAAATTATTCTACTCTTTCTACACGTTTCTATAGTCGTGGGGAACCTCAATGAGACCAAAGCACTACTGTGCAGCTATTCTCACTGTGGGGCCTTGCCACCTTCCCAGGCTTTGCCTGAGAGAGGGATAAAAGATCTCCTTTGTCCTTAGATTTCAATAACACTATCATCTGTCATCACCTTCTTCCAAGCTCAAGTCAGAATGGGAGGAAGTATGGAGAGAGTGGGTGTAACTTAGGGAACAGAACCTCTTTTCAGTAACCCACTGGCATTTATTCATCCCATATTTCATTTTACTTATTTGTAACCTAGTCCACGACTTACTTAATTTATTTATTTGTTTCTATTTCTGGGTAATATTTTATAGACCATATGTTTTTCTCTGAATTTTTGTCTACTCAGAGCATCAAACTCAAAGCACTTTTGCTGCATTTTTGTTATAAACAACTCTTCCCACCAGTCAATGGATAGGATTTAGAATCTTTTCCAATGAGTGGAAGGTCAGAAGTACCAGCAGAAAGTGAAAGGTCATACATGTGTGTGTCTGTACATATGTGTGTAGGTCTGCACATATGAGTATGGATGCATGCGTGTATACGTATTTGTAATCACATGTATAAAATGGTGGTAGTTAACAGAGAACAATTAATCCCTTTCCAAATAGCATTCTTCTCTATCGAATGAATTCACACACTTGCCCGACTTAAAAGTTTCCTTCCTCTTTCGCTTGCCTGGTCCTGAAGTTCTCTAAGACTTAGTTCAGACAAGAACAAAGCAAGGAGCAAAATGCACAAATAAGTTTATGTTCATGACCGTGTCACACAGAACACTTCATTAATTCAAGATTTATTCCAACTGGGAGATAGTGATCTTGTCTTCTTTGATGATTCCATTTCTAACTGCTTACTCATGAATTGTTCCTGTGGTGGCAAGATAACCAAAGGCCGGGAAACACTGAGTAACCTAATTGCTGGGGCTTGCTGATTGATCTGATTATTACAAAGTGATTCTTAAAATAAGTATTTAAATTCCCATTAAAGACAACATGGGCAGGATTGACTGCTGCTACAGGGATTACTGTAACCTAACATAATATCTTTGATTTTAATAAAATACTTTGTTTACAACTTAACATAGGTATTTTACCAATTAAGTGTATGCTTAGACATGGACAACCACAGTAATTTTTATAACATAGAAATTTTAATTTTGCCAACTATTCCTCTGGAACCTTATAATGCTTGGCTTTTTGGTATTTGAATAAATACATTTGTTATAGCAAGCAGTCTTTCTCTGATGCTAAGCAGAAACATAGGCAAATATACCAGAATAGGAAAACAGAGAAAGTAAAACTAAATTTTATTTTAAAATAAGGTATAAAGAACTCTGGAATACAAATTGTGCCATCCTGAAGGAGCTTACCTTAAGTTCTTTATGCCACCAATTAGGTAGCCAAATGTCTGTACAGCAACCACCATCCACCCCAACTCCATCTGCTTTGTCAGGTTACCTTACCCACATGCTTCACTAGTCACACCTACTTATTCATTGAGTTACCTCAAATAGTAGATCTTTTTACACAAAGGAAATATTATAAAACCTAGGGCCTCATGGGTAGTGTTCAAAGAGTTTGAGGTGGCAAGATTTTGAATTGATATTCTCTTTGTTCATCTCCAATGACAAAAGAAGCTAACACACTGGGCATAAATTCTGAGTGATACTGGACACAATTATTTTTTAAAACACCAAATAGACATTTGTAATTTTAAAGTTGAAAGGTATTTTTTTTTCTAAATTAGGCAATATGTCTGTTCCCTTTTCTGACTACTGCTACTTACAGAATATGAAGATGTTGTTCTAATTTGGTCTTGAATCCCCAGCCTCCTCTCTTTTCATCTTCTGCTCATATTATCATTTTTATACTGTATGATTGATTTCCTGAGGTTACATATACAATTTTCATAAAAAAAGATTAGAAAAACAATAACCAAATCCAAAATTATTTGTATCCTGGAACATGTACACAGCGTATTTTCCAAAACCTTAAGGGCTTTATCATATTAGATTTTGGAAGACAATTTGTAAGATAGGAAAGTAATTATAGGTGTACCTGTGTATTTCTTCTTCCATTTATATAAGCCCCTGAAGGCCATTTTTAAGGTGTAAGTATTTTGGAGCATAATGAAGGATAGGGAATGGCATCTTTTTATCTGCATGAATATCTTTGTCATAAAGTTGCAGACTTTGGAAAGTCAAGGTTAAAGCTAATTTAGTTAACAATCGTAAATGTAGCTTTCATTAAGTCTTTAATTTTCATTCATGCTATCATTTCACAAGGGGAACAAATAGCTCTATGACAATTATGCAGGCAAAATGTATGTGTTTATGAGTGAGTTACTTATTAGAAGACACTGAACATTTGTTTTATGAGGTAAACATTGCTATGAAGCTAACGTTTAAAAGAAATGGGCTTATAAGTGCCTTTTTAAAGCTTTGACGTAAACAATGTCTAATTTAGTTCAACCCACGGGTATGATTTATCAGCACTGTTCTCATTAGCTTTTTCTATATTTTTAAAAATAATTTATTTGGTACAGCTTTCCATAAGCATTTAGAGAACTGTAGCAAAGAAAGTATCTCCAAAATGAAGTCACCAAGGGGCTTTTGTGCAGTCACAGAACTAAGCAAAACTTTCAGATATTTGCTGTTAGAAAACTGGTCACTATTCTGGCTAGACTACAAAGCTATTTTGCTAAGCTGCTATTCACAACAAAGTTCTGACTCTGATAGGTACCACAGTTCTCCTGTTCACATTCTTTGGTTCTATCCTCACCCTCACCCAGACTGCTCCCCACTAAATTTCAGAATATTTCTGGGTGAAAAGAGGTTTTATTAGAAAAAATAATACATTAGGTATACTTCTATCATGTTGAAGGAAATGAGCTGAAAATAAGAAAATATTCAAATACTTGCTTTATTTGCTTTTATGGATTTTTTTTATTATACTTTAAGTTTTAGGGTACATGTGCACAACATGCAGTTTGTTACATATGTATACATGTGCCATGTTGGTGTGCTGCACCCATTAACTTGTCATTTAACATTAGGTATATCTCCTAATGCTTTCCCTCCCTACTCCTCCCACCCCACAACAGGCCCCGGTGTGTGATGTTCCCCTTCCTGTGTCCATGTGTTCTCACTGTTCAGTTCCCACCTACGAGTGAGAACACACGGTGTTTGGTTTTTTTGTCCTTGTGATAGTTTGCTGAGAATGATGGTTTCCAGCTTCATTCATGTCCCTGCAAAGGACATGAACTCATCATTTTTTATGGCTGCATAGTATTCCATGGTGTATATGTGCCACATTTTCTTAATCCAGTCTATCATTGTTGGACATTTGGGTTGGTTCCAAGTCTTCGCTATTGTGAATACTGTCGCAATAAACATACATGTGCATGTGTCTTTATAGCTTCATGATTTATAATCCTTTGGGTATATAGCCAGTAATGGGATGGCTGGGTCAAATGGTATTTCTAGTTCTAGATCCCTGAGGAATCGCCAAACTGACTTCCACAATGGTTGAACTAGTTTACAGTCCCACCAACGGTGTAAAAGTGTTCCTATTTCTCCACATCTTCTCCAGCACCTGTTGTGTCCTGACTTTTTAATGATTGCCATTCTAACTGGTGTGAGATGGTATCTCATTGTGGTTTATTTTTCCTTTAGAAACAACTGGGGAATTACTCAAGTCCTGTATTTCTCTTCTAGAACATCTTTCTTTAGATGCACTGCATTTATTTAGTTTTCCATTTGTGAAGGTAAAATACAAGAATGAAGAATAGTATAAACAATTTTTCAAAAACATGTTTGAAAAGAATTCTGATATAAAATAATTACATATCATCAAAATATATGTATGATAATATATACATTTTATTTATCGTAACATATTCATGATAAAGATATTTGCAATTAAGAAATTCTGAATTAAATCTGTCAGATGACAAAGAGACTAAGATTTAAAAATTATAATTGTTGGATATTACTGGCCATTAACACATTATAAAGACATAAAAATCTGTTTAATGTTTTGGATAAAAAATTATAAATATATAATTTCCGAAGTAAAAATCTTACTCTAAAAAGAATGTAATCTGGAATATTAAACTCTCGATATTTATTAAAAGTTTGATCATAATTATAGTTTGTATAATATGTTGCAAAACATTTTCTTCCTGGAAAGCTTTTTTTTCCTTTCACATCCTGTATACTATAGGACAAGGGACAAGGTATATGTGCTAATTTATCCTCATTGTTATTTTCAAACTGTTGACACCCACCCTTCTCCCATTCCTCAAATAAATAAATAATGATTTGCTTGGATTCTATGACATTAAATTATACAGTTAACTAGCTTCCCAACCATTGTCATTCGTTCACTGAAGATTGTAATACCTGTTTCACTGTCTTTACTTCAATCACTACTTTTGTCATAATTCTTGTGGAGTTCACTTTTTATATAATCCATCTACTTCCTCCCATTTTCAAAAATGTTTTTTACCTTCAGTAATTGAATTTTACTTTTGATCTAGTAACAATTCCTACAACAGAATTCTTGTAACCTGTCCTTACCAACAACTGTGTCATTTCTACACTTTCCATTTTTGTTATCTTTTTCTTCGACTACTACCTATCTTTCAAGCTCACTTCCATAAATACTCCAATCTACTCTTTTGATCCCGCTACCTTTCATTTTCCTACTGTAATGGGTCTTCCCTTCTTATCCTCATATTTGTCTTTGCCTAATGTGAACTGAGTGTTCATCTTTCTACTCATTTCCCAAACTATCTTGCTCTAACCTACACTTACACTGCCTAACCAGAAGTCTGCTAAATCCATATGCATCTCCACACGCATATCCAATCAACTGAAAATAGCCTGAGAAAACATGAGTAACTCCATGATTGTTATCTCTTTATTCAAGACCACAGACCTCAAGTTGTCTTTCAGTACTGAGAACCAACTAGAGTTTGCTAGTTTACTCACTTTCCCATTCTACTAATAAACTTTCTCATACCCTCCTTTTACTAAAGAATATTTCGTATATTTGGTTCTTATTCCCTCGAAAAACAACATTTGAAGAATATCTTCTTGCCTTCCTGTTACCTAAGTATTAACAAGTCACTGTCATTTATATCCATATAATTTTTCTAATCTTTCTACCTTATTTTTTTCTTATTTAATTGTATTAACAAGGTATACAGACAGGTACAATGACAATTAGAAATGGTGATGGTGGTTATCCTTGTCTTGCTTCTGATATTAAAAGACTCTATCTAAAATGCTTCCTTTATATTCCCTGTAGTCTTTGTGTACATACTGTTTATTCAATTAAGACAAGCATTGAAGGTGACTTATAATCACACTACAGCTGATTTAATCTTGTTTTTCTTCTCTGAACTTCAACAGGCCCACACTTGAGTCAATCATAATTATTGGTTAATAACATACTTACTTCATTGGTCCACATTTGACTGACTTTTGTTTATTCGTTAGTGAATTATTCTATTTGGATTTAGTAAGAAAATGAGAACCACTGCAAGTATGGAAATAAGGTTTGCACATAGAAACTACAGGTTACGTAAATGTGTTTCGCATTGGAGAAGAGAAAGTCTGGATTTCTGTGGCCAAAGGATCAGAAATAACTTACAATGATATTGATCTAAAGCATTAGAGGGGAGAAAAAAAATAATCATGGGGAAATCTGAGAATCAACTACAAGCACAAAAGGATGTGACGGATAGATCTGCAAAGCTGGCAGTGTTTGTAGAAGTTTCTGTATATTTGGAAGCTGCCATGGCAATCACCACTTCTGACCACACAACATATGACAGCTATAGACAGCTTAGAATAATAATGGCCTCTACTTCATGTCTGTCTCCAAACTTTGGGCAAGTACCACTCATGAACAAACTGTAACCCAAATTCGTATAGGTAGGTGAATACTGGGAAATATGAAGTGTGTTGATGCTTAGTTGAAGCAAATAATTTATTACAGACCATTCTTTCATCAATGTGGCATCTATACACACTCCTTTTAACTATATTTAATTTCTGAATAAAAATACTAATAAAATAATGCTTCAGCTCAACTGAATGCAACCATCTCACATAAAACTAACGACTTGTCAACTTTCTTCCAGAAAGAGGAGATGAAAAGACCATATAATCTTCAGATCACATTTATTCTTGTTCTAGTGAAGTCACAATCTCTCTTTGATATCCTGTAATTTAATTACTGAGTTAGAGAGATTTAACATCTAATAATGCATATTAGTCAGAGGGAGATAAAACAAATTGGTTAATATATACAAATAATATTAAAGCAAAGAGGAAAATACATATATAATATAGCAATTAATAATGTGGTAGCAGCTAGAAATTAGAACTTTCTTCTTCTAATATTCATTCTACCTCTATAATCTATAATAGTGGCCCACTGGTTAAGGCAACTCAGACTTTCCTTTAACAAAGTGTCCACACTATTATGTGTTTCTCTTGTACTGAGCTGCTGTCGTTTTCAGTTAATTGTAATCACTAGACGTGGGATACTGAGATTATTCCCAGAAAATATCAGTCGTTTTCCAGACATATTCTTTCCCAGTGTGTAGTAACAACCTAATTTCATATTATAGATAAGATCAATCATCCCAGTCGGCACAACCATTGTCTTCTTCGCACTGTTTCTCCTTCCAGTTAAATGGACCATTGGTGTTTTACTTGTTCGAAGTATTTCTTACTTAGATTATCAGAGGTAATGGGAGAAGCATACAATTTTCTTACTTTGTTTCCTGTACCTATGTATCATGGCTATGGCATAAAAATAACATGTATTAGGCACTGATTCAGAGCACATAGCAAAACATTATTGTAATCCACAAACATTGCCATTTAACTGGTGCTGTAACAGTCTTCTGCAAAGGCACTGCATCATTCTATCAGGACAGTTGCCTTCGGGTTATGGGTAAAATAGTAAGATCTGTGAATTTTTTAATCATGAACAAATCGTTGCTTTTTGAATTTCTATAAAATGAGTTTCCTGGCAATAAGCATTGGTATGTGGAATACCATGAAAAGAAAGAAGGTGCTCTGTAAGTCTCCAGAGGATAGGTTGGGCAGAAGCATTAGGATGTGTCTATTCCAGAAAGCACAAATAGATCTCTTTCAGGTATCTACATGGTCTTTTAGGTATCTATATGGTCTGTGGAGAAATTATGCTATGTCTGGGTCTCAGTGTTATTCTCTGCTGTTGATAAATTAGCACTGAAGGTTTGTAGTCAGATCAACTTTGGTAAGTAACATGCTGTGTAGCTTAGCTCACGATAACTTTCATACTTGCCACAATGAGTTCACTCATTAAAGATAAAGGGATCTGGCCGAGCGTGGTGGCTCACGCCTGTAATCCCAGCACTTTGGAAGGCCAAGACAGGCGTATCATGAGGTCAGGAGATCGAGATCATCCTAGCCAACATGGTGAAATCCCGTCTCTACGAAAAATACAAAAAATTAGCTGGGCATGGTGGCACGCGCCTGTAATCCCAGCTACTAGGGAGGCTGAGACAGCAGAATCACTTGAACCCAGGAGGTGGAGGTTGCAGTGAACTGAGATCACACCGCAGCACTCTAGCCTGGTGACACAGCAAGACTGCATCTCAAAAAAATAAAAAATAAAAAAAATAAAGGCATCTAAGGAAAGTGGTCACTGACATCAACAGAGTCATCAGACATTTTTTTCCATGTAATTTTTGATAATCTCTTGTACTAAGGCTATCTTTAGTGGATTTTTGTAGTAGATACAAATATTCTCACATTTTATGCCCATTTAGGGAAGTTCACCCAAAATATTTATTCCACCAATCTCCTTGATCCTTTTCAACTTTGTTCTTTTCAAGTCATTAACCCTCAGACCAACTGCTAAAGACTCCTATGAATCACTGTAGGTTAGTGTCTCTGGCCATCTCCCCTTTTAGGGAAAATGACTACCAAGTATACCTCTCAGATTTTTGCCCACTGGAAAATGTTCTCTTCATTACTGTCTTCTATAGCTACTCTTGAATGGGGCCGCTATGCTATAGCCATCCCAGCCATCCACTTTTGAAAGGTTCAAGTGTCATTTGTATATTTGTTTATTATTTTTAAATTGACAATTTTTTATGTATTTAGACACTGTGATGCTCTGATATATGTATACATTGTAGAATGACTAAATCAACCTAATCAGCATATCCATCACCTCACAAAAACATTTAAAATCTATTATCTTAGCAATTTTCAAGTATACAATATATTATTATTAACTACAGTCACCATGTTGTACAATAGATCTCCAAAACATATTGCTCCTGTCTAACTGGAACACTGTAACCTCTGACCACCATCTTCCCATTTCCTGGTTATTCTAGCCTCCGTTTACCATTCTGTTATCTGTTTCTACAGGTTGAATATTTTGATTCTATGTGTAATTGAGAACCTGTAGGATTTGACTTTCTGTTCTTCTGCTTATTTTACTTAGCAGAGTGGCCTGCAGATTCATCCACATTTTCGCAAACAACAGGACTTCCTTATTTTCTAAGGCTGAATAGTATTCCATTGTGCATATCTACCACATTTTCTTCACTTATTTGTCCTCCATTGGGCATTTAGGTTGATTCCATAGCTTGGCTGTTGTGAATAATACTGCAATTAATATAGGAGTACAAATATATCTTCAACACTGAATATAGGAGTACAAATGTATCTTCAACACTGATTCTATTTTCTTTGGATATATACCCAGAAGTAAAATTGCTGGATCATATACTAGCTCTATTTTTAATTTAGTGAGTAATTCTCATACTGTTTTCCATAGTGGTTGTACCAATTTATATTCACATCAATAGTGTACATGGTTGCCTTTTCTTCACATTCTTGCCAATACTTATCTTTTGCCTTTTTAATAATAGCTATTCTAACAGGTATAAGGTGATATCTTGTGGTTTTAATGTGCATTTCCCTGATAATTAGTGATGTTGAGCTTTTTAAAGTATACCTGTCATGTCATGTCACCTGTAAAGATAATTTAACCCCTTTTTTCAGTTTAGATGCCTTTTATTTCTTTTTCTTGTCTAATTTTCCGGCTAGGAATTTCAGTACTCTGTTAAATAGAAGTAGTGAGCACGGGCATTCTTGTCATATTTCTAATTACAGTGAAAAAAGTTTCTGCTTTTCACACTTGAGAATGATGTTAACTGTAGGCTTGTTATATATGGCCGTTATTATGTTGAAGTAAATTTTTATATACCTAATTTTATGAAAGTTTTCATCATGAAAGGACATTAAATGTTGTCAAATGCTTTTTCTGCATTTATTGTAATGACCATATGATGTCTATCCTTCATTCTTTTAATATGGTATATCACATATATAGACTTTTGTATGTTGAATGATCCTTGCATCCAAGGGATTATTTCTCACTTATTCATAGTGTATGGTTTTTTAAATATGCTTTTGAACTATGTTTGTTAGCATTTTGTTGAGAATTTTGCATCTATGTTAAACAGGGACATTAGTCTTTAATTTTCTCTTCTTGTAGTGATATTGTCTGGCTTTGATATAGAGTAATGTTCTTCCAAAAAATTAAAGAGGAGTAAACACTTCCAGCTACTTATAGTAAGTAGTTTGGTTAGCAATAAGTAAGTATATAGTAAGTATAGGAGTAACACTTCCAAAGTCTTTAATTTTTTTGAAGAATTTGTAAAGAATTGGGGTTCTTTTCTAAATGCTCAGTAGAATTTACCAATGAAGCCATCAGGTTCTGAGCTTTTTTTCAAAATATTTTTGATTATTGATTCAATCTAATTTATCATTATTTATCTGTTCAGATCTATTATTTAATGAATTAATCTTGGTAAATTATACTTTTCTAGAAAATTATCCATTTCTTCTAAATTATCTAATTTGTTGGGGTGTAATGGTTTGTAGTATTTTCTTATGGTCCTTTGTATTCCTGTGGTATCAGTGGTTATATCTCCTCTTTCATTTCTGATTTTATTTATTTTCTCTGTTTTGATTATCATAGTTTAGCTAAAGGTTTGTGACTTTTGTTTATCTTTTTGAAAAACCAACCTAGTTTTATTGATCTCTTCTATTGTTACTTTTCTCTTTATTTTGCTTATTTTGTCTCTAATCTTTATTCTTTCTTTCCTTTTTCTGACTTGGGACTTAGTTTATTCTTCTTTTCCTAGTTCCTTGAGGTGTGTAAAGTTAGGTTCTTAATTTGAGATCTTCATTCTGAATGTAGGCATATCTCACTATAGATTTCCTCTTATAATTGCTTTTACTATATCCCATAAGTTTTGGTATATTGGGGTTCTATTTATGTTTGTTTCAATATATTTTTTTACTTCATTTTTGATTTCTTTTTTGACCTATTTGTTGTTTTGGAATGTGTTGTTTAATTTCCCCATACTTTTAATTTTCATATTTTCTTTCTGTTATTAATTTTAGTTTCATATCATTGTGTTTAAAAAAGATATTTGATATAATTTCAAACTTACCGAATTTGGTAAGCCTTGTTTTGTGGCCTAATATATAATCTCTCCTGGAGAATGTTCCCTGTGTTCTTTAAAAGAATGTGTATTCTGCTGCTGTTGGAGGAAATATTCTGTATAGGTCTGTTAGGTCCATTTGGTCTCTAGTGCTGTTCAGGTCTGCTATTTTCTTATAAATCTTCTGTCCCGATGATATATGCATTGCTAAAGATTAGGCATCTAAGTCCCCTACTACAATTGTATTGCTGTGTATTTCTCCCTTCAATTCTATCAATATTTGCTTTATATATTTAGGTGTTTCCATTTTGAATAGATATACATAGGCAATTATAATATTCTCTCCTTTTTTTTTTTTTTTTTTTTTTTTTTTGAGACAGACTCTCACTCTGTCAACCAGGCTGGAGTGCAATGGTGCGATCTCGGCTCACTGCAACCTCTGCCTACTGGGTTCAAGGGATTCTCGGGTCTCAGCCTCCTGAGTAGCTGGGATTACAGGTGCACGCTGCCACGCCAGGTTAATTTTTTGTATTTTAGTAGAGATGGGGTTTCACTGTGTTGCCCAGGCTGGTCTCGCTTAATGAATTGACTCATTTATTATTATATAATTGCCCTTTTTGTCTTTTGTGCTGGTTTTATCTTTAAAGTCTATTTTGTCTTACAAAAGTATAGACAACTTTGCTTTTCTTGGTTATGATTTGAATAGACTAGCTTCTTCCATCCTTCACTTTCAGCATATGTATGTCTTAAAATCTAAAGTGAGTCTCTTTTAGGAAGCATACAGTTAAATGATACTTTTTTTTAAATCCATTCAGCCACTATTTGTCTTTTGAGTGGATAATTTAGTCCATTTATATTTAGTGAATTATTAATAGGTAATAACTTACTATTGACATTTTGTTAATTTTTTTCTGACGGTTTTATAGTTCCTTCGTTCATTTCTTTCTTTCTTTCTTTCCTTTCTTCCTTCCTTCTTTCTTTCCTTTCTTTCTTTCTTAGTAGGGTTTTTTTTTTGTTTTTTTTTGTTTTTTTTTTTTTTTTTGAGATGGAGTCTTGCTCTGTCGCCCAGGCTGGAGTGCAGTGACGCAATCTCGGCTGACTGCAAGCTCTGCCTCCCAGGTTCACGCCATTCTCCTGCCTCAGCCTCCCGAGTAGCTGGGACTACAAGTGCCTGCCACCAAGCCCGGCTAATTTTTTGTATTTTTAGTAGAGACAAGGTTTCACAGTGTTAGCCAGGATGGTCTCAATCTCGTGACCTCACGATCCACCCGCCTCGGCCTCCCAAAGTGCCGAGATTACAGCGTGAGCCACCGCTCCCGGCAGAAAGTAGATATTTTTATCTAGTGGTATCCTTTGATTCCTTTCTTTTTATCTTTTGTGTATCCACTACTGATTTTATGTGTGTGTGTATGCTTATCAACAGGCTAAATAAAACATCTTATTGATAGACTACTTTAAACTTAACTTTGCATACAAAACCTCTATATTTCAACTTTCTCTACTTTCATATTTTATGTAATTTATATCGCTATTTACATATTTTAAATATCATGAATCTATTACTAAATATTTGTAGATATAGTTATTTTTAATCCTTTTGTCTTTTAACTTTTATGATAGAATTGAAAGTAATTTATGCTCCATCATTGCAATATTATTCTGCTTCAAATATTTTATTAGGCTCTATTGGAATATGTCAAATTATCAATTTCAACATCTTTATCTGCCATAAGCATTTTAAGTACCATGGGATTGTCTGAAACATATGGCTGAAGTGACAGAGCAGCTTTCACAGCAGCCTGAATCAGTTGAAAAGCCCTTTATTGTTCTTGGTCCCTTTCACATAATTCAGTGAACAGTTTTAAGCAGCATGCAACAATGAAATATATGTTTCCTCCAAAATACAAAGAGGCCCTCTAGTAGCTATGTTGTTTTTTTTTCTTTTCTTTTTGTAGTGATAGTGGATGTCAGTTTTAACTGACAATTTGTCCTTTAACTTGGAAAGATTACCTTACTGTGTTCTAAACTGTTTGACCCTTGGTATTTCACCAAAGTTTCAGGTAATTTAACTGTAAAAAATTTTTCTTCTCAAACTTTGTCATACATGTGTCTCACCAATATCTAATCAGTATGATATGTCAATATAGAAGATCAACACTTTATCCTGTGGGATGAAAGATGAACAATATCCCTACAGGCTAATTTGTAATGAAAGGCTGGAGAATTGATATAGCCCTGTGATAAGATGGTAAAGAAGTTTTATGTGAAATACTTAATGGTTTTTCAGCCCTATGATAAGGTGATGAAAGAAAGTTGAATTGGTATTCTTTAGTAACGGGTAGGAAACCAACAAACAAAAAACACACACCGGATCAATGGTTCTATACCAGATGCCATATGAGGTCAACAGAAAAATTACTTCTGGAACAGCAGCTACAATGGATAAATTATCTCATTAAGTTTACTTTAATTGACTCTTTCTCCAAGATTCACCTGTTTCTACCCAGGCCAATCAGAGGTGTTAAAGAGGGATATAATAAAGATTACTACTTTTGTAATCTTTAATTTTTAAGGAGCATTCCTCCAGGAATGCGGTATTGCTTTGAGCAGGTAGAGAGAGTTTAAAGAACTTTCATTTGGCCCTTTCTACCATAATACCTGTTATTTCTAAGTCAGTAAGCCATGTGGAAATTGGTCAGTTGATAAATATGTTGACTCCCACAGTACATTCTGGAACTTGTAAAATAACCATAGAATGAAGGATGGTGTAACAGTGTTCTTCCTCAGGAGAATCCTGCCTCTCCTGCATTCACACTGCCCTGGATCTTGAACTGATTAAATTGCAGAATACAGTGAGGGACCATGACCCTCTAATACAGCAATTTAAGTTCACCAGACCTAAGATAATTTGTTTTGTTTTTTAAATCAAGTAAGACATTAATAGGTTGCCCATTTCTTTCATATTTAATTATGTTCCCTTATTCAGAATCAAAGATTTCTGTATGTCAAACTCTAACTGCCATTACCCTTATGCTCATTATGCTTATTATGGTCATCGTGACCATCTTTTCTCTGGTTGTTAGATGCCAACGTCTGGCCCCTGCCATGCTGGGATCTCATCATTCCTATTGAGGGATGATGGTCAGAAGATTTATTTTGATGGCAGCATTTCCCACTGTGATTCCTGGACCACAGATTACAGGCACAAAACAGCCTTTCAAAGATACTATTAATCTCTCATCAATACATTTCTAGAAGCCTATTTAAAGTGAGTATTCTCTAGGCCCTCTGTTGTACATAATGAGGAAGTATGTAAGCAGGGTATCCACAATAAACCTACACTAGCATTTCTATTTCCCAAAGCTTTACTTTTTCTATGTAATACTAAGGAAGTTTTGACATCATTCAATGTATTCTATTATTGTGCCATGTCTAAGAAAGATGTCCCACTGGCAGAGGTTGCCCCACAATGGAAGCCATCATGTTAGTGGATTCTGCCAAGTCTTTAGAAGTCACTAAATCTGTCACTCCTACTGTCCTCCTGATCGAAAGATCAAAAAGTCAGGGACCTCTACTTCTCAACTGTCTTTCAAATCTCATGGGATTTTTTCTCATTGACTAATTCCAAGATGAGGCCATATAAGTAAGGTAGTATTAAAAAAATAATTATTTTAAGTTTGTTCTTAGAACAAAGGTTTCTAGAGATTCCAACCAAGAATCTAGTTTATTTATAACAATCCTTTTCCTGGCAAGTCGTGAACATTAATATTTTGTCTTCCTGGCTTGATGAAACTGCTAAAATCTTTACTTCACTTTTCCATATGGTTTTAGCTTAACATTTTATTGTCTTTTCTGGGCAGCTGCAGATTACAGCCAATGTCTTAAGGAGAGAATTGGCTATGTGTCAGGATCAGTTATACACTATTTCCTTTTCTCTTAGATGTTGACCACTGATGCTCCAATTTTGTCTCTCTAGCCTGATTAGAACACCAATATTTCAGGAGGTTCCCCAGAAGTAGCTATTTTCTGAAACCAGACACAGATACTCATAATGTTCAGAATCAGAAAAGGCCTCTACAATATAGAATATAGTTCCAGGAATAAGTTCATTTCTCCATGGTTATCTCTTTCTGAAATCTTTGTCTGTCTAACCTATTACTTCAGCAGCTTTCTGATGATTTTATACAGATTTTCACTATTTGTTTCTATATAGCTTTTCGAGATTAAGGAGAGAGTATTTGTGTATTTTAAGTTTCTCCAGCAAAAAGCCAAGCTTTGTATTTGTCATTGACTTTTGATCAATACTTTCAGCATATTTCCAACAAAGAGTCTATATGCATAGCCCACCAGGATTTCATGAAAGTACCTATTTTCCATCAATGTAATCAGCATTGGATATATTAAAATGGATTTTACTATTTGCCAAACAAAAGAATGAAAAATTGTCTTAAAGATGCTTTCATTTGTCTTTTCATAACTCCTAGTGAAGTTGAACATTTTCTAACATATTTTTCTTTTGCCTTTTACATTTCTGTTTTTTTGTTTCTTTGTTTGTTTGTTTTTTAATGACAGTTTATGCTATTTGGCCAGGTTTGCTGGGTATTGTTTATAGGTTTGTTTCTTATGCTTTGGTTATTTATTTCTTTACGCTTTTTAAAATACCAATACACAAGAGCTCTCTTTATATTGCAAACATTAATTTTCTATATTCTTAGTTATTTTTATTGTAGATTTTCTATTGCTCTATCTTTGCATTTGGAATCTGTCAGTAGTGTCCTTCCATTCAGAAAATTTAATTTTTATGTTTGTAAATCTTTCAATTTTTTCTAGTCATAACCTGGGTTTTTCTGTCATTTCATTAAATAATAATATTTTGTTAATTGAAGCTACATTACATATTTTCAATTACTGTATAATGACTTCTAAATTATAAAATCATTATGTATAGATATGATGAATATTTCATGGGTATTGCATGAATCGTGAACAAAAGCAATGTCAATAGAGACAAAAAATATTTTTGTTTCTATTTCAGTTTCTGGTTTAGAGAACTGAATTTATGCAAGGAAAATTTTCTGCTCCTATATAATGGAATCAATTGAAATCCATGTATGTAATTGCAAAGACGTATAAGATCAAAAGATGTCATAAATGATAGATTTTCTTACATTAGTTTAATGCACCATGCTCTCATGAAATAAAGTTAACCAAGATAAAGATTTCACCAATTCTGGTCTTTTAAAAAATATTTCATAGTCATTTATAATCTTGGACCTGGAATCTGGAATTTGGTAGTTTCTGATTATCAGTTTCCCTCTAAATCATTGATAAGGGGGTACATTAAAAATAATGCTGCTCAGAGATAAATCTTAAGGAAGTGTCTCTACACTGAGTCAACATTTCAAATGTAGAGTTTGTATTTTGATTGTTTTTGTGTTCTTTTAACTATAAAATTAAATGGAGCTCATTTAAGGCAGTATCAGTGTAAAAAAGGTAGACTCTTCAGAGTATTAGTAGTTCAGATATAATTCAGGATAAAATATGTATTTTTACATCATATGTTTTAGAGAAACATTCTTTGAGTTTGGAATCTGAGTTGGTCATGAGCCATTAGCAAATATGATGCAAACAGAGGTATAGAAAGTGCTCACGCATTGGGTAGAGCTTGTTCTCTGGCTGCTTTTAAGAACTTCACATTAACAACCCAGGCTACCTGGAAGAACAAGACACATGTGGCTAAGTCATGCCTCCACCTAGCTGTCATTAAGCCAATCACCAGACATTGTGTAAGGCTACTTTGAAACATCCAGTCCCAATCAAGCTGGCCTAGACCAGAAAAGAACCCTCAGCAACCAACAGACTAGTGAACAATAATAAATATTTTCTCTTTAAGTTACTAAATGCTGGAGTGACTGGGTTTGCATCAAAAGTTATTACAAGGTTGTTATCAGGAAAGTGCCTACTATGATCCAGACACTAGGCAATGTGCAGATAGCACATGGAAATTAGTGCAAGAATCTTAGGTTTTGCCTTATTCAAGACATTTCCTGGGAAAGAAAAGAGCCATTTGCTCTACTTGTAAGACTATTGCTTGTTTTTTAATGGCTGAATAGTATTCCATTGTGTATATATACCACATTTTCTTTATGGATTTATCTGTTGATGAACCAGGCTGATTATTGGTTATTGTGATCTTGGTTATTGTGAATAGCGTTGAAATTAACATGAGAGTGCAAATATCTCTTTGACATACCGATTTTGTTTTCTTTGGATATGTACCCAGTAGTGGCATTGTTGGATCATATGATAGTTCTATTTCTTAATTTTTTTAGAAACCTCTATCCTGTTTTCTATAATGGCTACACTAATTTACATTTTCACCAACAGTGTGTATGGTTCCCTTTTCTCCACATCCTTGCCAACACTTATCTTTTGTCTTTTTGATAATAACCATTACTACTGGAGTGAGGTGGCATCACATTTTAGATCTGACTTAAATTTTCTTCATGAGTAGTGAAGTTGAATATTTTTTAGGAACATGGAGGACATCATGTTAAGTTAAATAAGCCAGGCACAGAAAGGCAAATACCACTTGATGTCAATCATATGTGGAATCTAAAAAAGTTGAATTCATAGAAGTAGAAAATAGAAAGGTGATTATGAAAGACTGGAGTACTTAGGGGGAAGGACAGGATGGGGGGATGGTGCTCAAAGGATATATAATTACAGTTAGATTGGAGGAATAAATTTGAGAGATCTATTGTACAGCAAAGTGACTGAAGTTAAAAATGATATAATGTATTCTTGAAAAATACAAGGAGAGTGGATGTTAAGTGCTCTCAACACAAAAATGATAATTATATGAGGTGATGGATTTCTTCATTAACTAGATTTAACCATTTCATGAGGCAGATATACTTCAAAACATGTTGTACATGGCAAGTATATACAATATTTGTCAATTTAAAAAATAAAAATTAAAATAAGATTTTTGCTACAATCTTCTACATCTTAGGTGAAGAAAAATAGGAGTCAATACTATTTCTCAACTATAAAATTTAAAAGAATATATATTAGGAACTTTAAAATTCAATACACAAGATGAAGTAAATTGTTAAATGTATTAATATATGTATAATCAATCAAAAATTGCTATATAAGGTATATGGGAAATAGTCTATGTGAATTCAGCTCAGCAACATGATATTCTCTTAAGGCACTTAGAAAAATTGATCTTGAATTTTTTTTGGGCCGGGCGCGGTGGCTCACGCCTGTAATCCCAGCACTTTGGGAGGCCGAGGCGGGCGGATCACGAGGTCAGGAGATCGAGACCATCCCGGCTAAAACGGTGAAACCCCGTCTCTACTAAAAATACAAAAAAACTAGCCGGGCGTAGTGGCGGGCGCCTGTAGTCCCAGCTACTTGGGAGGCTGAGGCAGGAGAATGGCGTGAACCCGGGAGGCGGAGCCTCCAGTGAGCCGAGATCCCGCCACTGCACTCCAGCCTGGGCGACAGAGCGAGACTCCGTCTCAAAAAAAAAAAAAAAAAAAAAAAGAAAAATTGATCTTGAATTTTTTTTAATGAGGAATTTGGCAAAACTGAGAATAAGCATATCTTTTGTAATTAAAAAAGAAAACAAGTATTTCTAAGTATTCCTTGTCAGTTTCCATCCATATTTATACTAAATATTACAGTTTAAAAAGCAATTCCAAGTATTCTGTAGTTTTGCTCTGACTTCACACAGTATATAAGTACAAGCTCCAAGTGATTTGTATCCAGAAATGCTTTGATTCTATTTTCTCCCTCACCCTCTACCTCTTATTTTCCTTCATCTATTCCTCTTCTTCTTCCTCTCTTCTTTAGCTTTATCTCCTCTTACTTTTTTCTACTTCTTGTCTTCATCTTCATCAATATCAAAGAATATATAATTTCATAAACATATATGAAATGTATGTATTTATAAAAATATATGACATGTAGTTATTCATAAAATATGTATGAAGTGTATGTACTTTATAAAATATATATGAAGTATCTATATTTATAAATATATATGAAGTATCTATATTTATAAATATATATGAAGTATCTATATAAATATATATGAAGTATCTATATTTATAAATATATATGAAGTATCTATATTTATGAATATATATGAAGTATCTATATTTATGAATATATATGAAGTATCTATATTTATGAATATATATGAAGTATCTATATTTATGAATATATATGAAGTATATATATTTATAAATATGTATGAAGTATATATACAAATATGTATGAAGTATATATATTTATAAAATATATATGAAATATATACATTTATAAAATATATGAAGTATATACATTTATAAAATAGATATGAAGTATATATAGATAAAATATATATGAAGTGTATATATTTATAAAATATATATGGTGTGTACTTTTATAAAATATATATGAATTACATATCTATTTATAAAATATATATGAAGTATATATTTATAACAATACATGAAGTGTATATTTATAACATATATATTAAATGTATATATGTATTATACACACACACACACACACACACACATATTCGCCAAAGAGCATGTTGGACATGATTAATCAGGGGGATCTATGTTGTCTATGCACTATTTTAGTCATTGTATTTCACACAAATTAACTGGAAAAATTAAACAGAAACAGCATTTTCACTAACTGCAGGGAAACAACTATATTGGAGAATAATTTTGAGTGTACACTTCACTTCGATATTGTCATTTAATCCATGCCACAAAAATGTTCCCTAAATATTCTCGTCCACATTTTTCAATGAGAACGTGTGAAGTTATCATCCATCATTGAGGTTAAATGTAGTCACATGTTTTACATAGGTAAGTAGTTGTATTGGTTAGGGATGTTTTTGAGCTTCAAATAAAAATATCTGAATGTTATTGCCTTAAGTAATAAGGTATTAGCTCACATCTGTAAAGTCTGTAGGTAGGCAGTTTAGGATTAATGGAGCAGCTCATGATGCTGTCAAAGTCAAGCTGGAGACAGCTTTACATAATGCCTTTCTCAGTAGTTAGTTATTTTATTCAGGGTTGTTGCCCCCATGACATGTTACAGCTGTTTCTATTATCAGGTCCTATTTCTAAGACAGGAAGCATTAGGATTTCTGGATAACAAGAGAGCAATATTATTAACTTCTTTATGATGGAGAAAATATTTCCTTGGTTCCCAATAGAAAAAATCAATTCTTACATTTCATTGCTTAACACTAGGGAATGTGGCTACTCCTAGTTGGAAGTGAATCTGGAAAAGTAAAGCTTTGACTCTGCCTTAATCACAAAAAGCAGGCTTTGTAAGCACACAATAATTGAGAGAAGAATTGTTGAATATGTAACTGCATTACCTGCCACAGTATTAGAACAGGAATTCCAAATTAAGGTTTTCTAATGTTAGAGGCCATGTTATGTACATCAGAATAAATTTTTAATAATAGATGATTTGGTGCTATTTTTAATAATGTCAATACATTTCATTATTTTTGGAATCTAGGATATATATTATTCAACATCTATGAGTTTTCCATAATGACCATTATGTTTGAACTTTATAATTGCTTATTCAATGTATACTTGATAATTAAATACTAATTTATAATTAAATTCAACTACAAATTTGATTTAATTTTACTCCTTTCCAACTCTTGTCAGCTTTTTTTTTTCTTCCTGAAAATGTTTCCATTATCTGGAAGCTACACAAATACAGAAAGATCATGATAGATGTTTTTTTCTTTATAAAGAACTGCACTAAAATGATTTTGTGCAAACTCATGTCAGACAGAGCCATTCTTTTGCCCCAATCCTGCAAAGGGTTCTTATGTTATTCAGGGTAAAAACACATCTTTACAGGGGCTGACCAGATCCTCTCCAATGTCAGACCCTCCATTACTACTCCTATTTAATCTTCCTACAGCTCTGTCTTCTACAGCAAAAATACATGAGTATTTTTGTTCACCTTGAACAATCCAGATGTGTTGCTGCCTCAAGACACTACCTGAACAGCTCTTCTTTAATGTATCCACACTTCTTATCCTCTCATCTTCTTCAGATTTTTTTCTCACATGTTAACCTCTCTATGAAATCTTCTCTGACCATCCATAAAAAAATATAATCACCCAACAATTGACTCCCTAATCTCCTTTCCTGCTTTGATTCCCTTGGCTGCCATTAGCACTATCTAATATACCAAATATTTTAGTTATCTATTTTGTTTGTATTCTTCCTCTTCCCACAAAATGCAATCAACAAAAGAGGAGATAGATTTATCTTTTTAAGCCATTATTCTCAGCACCTAGAAGACTTGAAATATAAATGCCTAATAAAAAATTATCAAATGTTTAATGAAATCAACAATGGCAGTAACAATTTCTATATACACAGGTTTTCAAGGGATAATTTGTTTTGATTGAGTAACTTGAAAATTCAAATAATGTCAGTCACCGACATAAGAAATGTGAACAGGAGTTGATGAAAATTATAAATAAACCTTCATAGGTATTTCAGTCTCCTTTGGTGATGAGAAAAGTAATATTTTTGTTTTCTCCTTAGAAGTAAGGTGGATTGTGATGCACTATTTTTCTTTGCAACAAAATGTTCTAGAATCATCATTAATCGTGATTTAGATGAAGATTTACCAAAATATGGAGCAATTCACTGAATTGGTTCAAGCAAAAGAGAATACAAACACATACATGCAAGTATTAATTTCCTGAATAAATAAAATTCTTCTATCTCTCTGCAGATAGCCTAGAACTTACAAGGATTTAAAGCTAGTGGACTTTCATATAATGTTCTACAGCAAAACCACTAATGTGAAAGTCCCTGAATTACTCTAATTCCTGTCCTTTCTGGCTCATGATTGCATAAGTTTCTTCCCTATATATATCATATTTCTTTCAAGGTATTTATCATTTTAATTAATAAACATTGGTTTATATTGCCATCAAAAGAACCCTTACTTATTCACAAGGGATACTGCAGACAATATTAAGATAACTCTTTTGTTTTTCAGTTTGCCATTAACTCTTGCAGTACAGCACAGACAATGCCTTAGACTAGGAAAACAGGCTGCAAGTGTCTGAAGGGAGTGGACTTCAGTAAAAAGTAATAATAATAATAGGAAATATCATAAATAAATTTTTCATTAATCCCAGAGTAACTACTTTAATCTAGTCTGAAATTTTTATATTTTTAGACATTAGTTTCTTAATACCTATTTCTCACCTGAACCAAACCTCCCGTCTGTGCTAAAAAATATATGTTTGTTTTGCCAAGTGAAATTCTCCTCTAACCTTAAATGCCTCACTCAACATCTTGGTCTTTATTCAAACCTGGCTTTCCCATAAATATTATATGTCCAGAGATGACTGCTCATGTTTCCACATTTCACACAACCTAAATTTGGGAGGTAGGGTAGGTCTCCTCCTCATTTCTCAATCCCACTGCAATAATAATAAAAATCCACATTCTTTTGGATGATTTTACTATCTGCTCTATCACTCCTATTTTGTTTATTGACTTCTGTGATCAACTCAATTATTAACTGAAGATTTTGAACATGACTTTCCATTTTACTCATCACAAGCTCCATGCAGACTCCACATAAATACTCTGATCTGCCAGGCCTATGACCTATTATTTTATACATCTTATTTTTCATTCCACTTCTGTTGCCAACCACTATAACTTTACTGTATACTTTCTCATGATGTGAAATAATTTATTTTCCAAAGCCAAACTTAGAAATTCTGTTTCTGGGCATAACCTTTTACTTTTCTTGCTTACTTGCTTATATTGCCACCATTCTAATTCTAAAGTTTAATAAGCTCTACTTATCCATTGATTCCTCTACTTTTCTCTCCAGTGCTACCTTTCCTAGATATGTATATTATCACAAAAAAACTCTGTTTTGACAATATTATCCACTAAATTTGTTATTGGTTTTCCTTCATTGCCTATCAGGATGAAACTCTAGTCCCAAGGGTATCCATGTTTATTGACCCTGGTTGCTGACTGACTGTTCAGCATAGATAGAGACAATCACACAATTGAGCATGTTGGTCCTATGCTTAGTCCCATGACCACTAGCCTCATATAAGTGCTCAATACTACCTGGCTCATAATACCTTAGCCGAGCCATCTCATTCTCACATTATCCATAATTGCTATTTCAGATTGTATTTTCAACCTTCTTCTAATCTTTAAGGCTGATACTTCTCTTTTTATACATAGAAGATTGATTCACTTCATATTTAATTTATAAAATAGAAAACATCCCATGGGAACTTGTTTTAGAATATGTAATTACAAATACATTTCTATTTCTCATCTTTCCCAAATAAATATAATTCTAAAACAGAAGTCTTTATATGTTAGGACTTGCATGTGTTTTATGTTGTAATTTTTAAATAAGATATTCTTAATCATAAAAAACTATTGAAACTGTGAAAAAACATGGCAATGAATTACATGAGAATTCAAAATGAAGTCCCACATAAATTTATACTAACAATTATAATAGGAGTATTAATTTATATATAATCTTTATAATAACCCTTTGCTTTTAACTCTGATAAGGTGCTTGGAGCAATAGATTCTATTGTCACAAAATTTCCACTTGTTTATTTATGAATAATTAAATTCTTCTTCCCTTCAGCCACTCTTTGTTTTAAAGAAGTGCATTTAAAATGATGATATATAAAGAGGCTTTATGACAAAAATTAAAGTGGCTTCTCCATTCCCCCTTCATGATCTTTTTCACCTTCACATTTCCTATGATTATTCCTATCAACCACACTCTTACATCACTGTCATTGACTAACCTTATGGCATGCTGCTTATGGATTAATTTACCAAGTCATCTGTCTGATTTCCATAGTCTAAGTATTTCTACATTGTATGCCCTAGCATTAAACTGCATTCGTTCAGTCAGGAGCATTAGTTTAATCTGTGAAAGATGCAGCAATTTGTCTGAAAATTCCAGCTGGCATAATGCAAACATCAGCATCAGGCAGATGATTTTTGATCCACACAGATGAGTGTAATCCTCTTTTTATTATACTTATTTATGCTTTTCTTCTATATTTTATTGTTTTATTACCACTGTGCTTTGTTCTCTTTTTTTTTTTTTTGATACTGGCATAATATGACAAAACCTTTTATCTAGTGAAATTATCAGCTATTCCCTCTGGAAAGAAATTTACCATTTTGAGAGGCAATGAAGATATGGCAGGAACATACCTGACTCAAATTCTCTTTTCTAATAGGTCTTTAATTTGAGGATTTTTATGCTAAACTCAAGAATTCGATTAATTTAGAGCTTTATAAGCATTACCCTGAAGCACTGTTCTCAAGTGACCTCTCTTCCTCTTATTTTTCAGATTATTTTCAATATGAGACCATTTATTCCATGGGCATGGGATTGAAATTCAAGGACAATGGTTGCTAGGATATTCACTCTTCATTATCTACAGCAGGGTTTCTCAGCCTCAGAAATTTGGACATTTGGAAGCGAACACCTTTTATCATGGTATCACTGTCCTGTGCTTCACAGGATACGTAGAAGCATCTCTGACATGTATCCACTGAATGTCAGGAGCACCAGCACCCCAGAGTGACAAGCCAAAATTCTGAGATTTTTGTCCTTTTGCAGGAGAGAGAAAATCACCACTAGTTGAGAATAACTTATTCATACAATTGAGATCTGGTTTAAATGATTGTCAAGGATAAAATTAAATGGGGAAGAAACGAGTAGAGATATTGAAGGAATGCAGAGCGGTTAAATAGGTATAGCTGAGTATTAAAATGTGAAAATACACTGAAGCTTATTGTTGCAATCAACTAGTCACAGATATTCTGTACATGTGATGGAAAGGTATGTATTTCTGTGTGCTTCAAGATCCCATTTGAAAATTGGCTTTTCGTTCCTCTTCTTTTTGTCCCTGTCCATTTTTTTTCCACATCTGAGACCTGTTCTATTCTTTTTCCTTTTCCCTTTTTTTTTTTTTTTAGACGGAGTTTCACTCTTGTTGCCCAGGCTGGAGTGCAGTGGCGCGATCTCGGCTCACCGCAACCTCCGCCACCGGGTTCAAGTGATTCTCCTGCCTTAGCCTCCCTAGTGGCTGGGATTACAGGCATGCACCATCACACCCAGCTAATTTTGTATTTTTAGTAGACACGGGGTTTCTCCATGTTGGTCAGGCTGGTCTCAAACTCCCGACCTCAGGTGATCCAACCACCTCCACCTCCCAAAGTGGTGTATTACAGGCCTGAGCCACCATGCCCTGTCCGGACCTGCTCTGTTCTTATGCCCACGTTGAGATAAATTGTTTCTGCCAAGCTCTTGAGTCCCAGGCTCCACCATGTATACTTGTGCTGCTAATTAAAATTTCTCTTTTATCTTCTCTGAATGACTGTCTTTAGAATCTGCTTCCTGCTTCAGTCTATCTATAGCTTGGGTCTCTGCCATTATATCCCCAAAATGGCTGGATTTCTGTAACCTGCCCTGAGAGTTTCCCTGAATGCCTGTTACAAATTCCAAAGGCATTTAACCTGTTGATGATTTTATATAAAATTATTTTAAACTGCCACAGCATTTCATTACAAGCAATTGATACATCCAAGCAAATAATGTATTACCTTATGGATTTTGATTGCTAGGTAAATCTTCTTTGGAAAACCTAAAGGCGAATACCTCCACCCTTCCTTGGGACTGCCACATTTCTCTGAGTAGCCCTGATGCTAGGTTCCAATTTTTTACCAGTTCAATCCATCAGATGGCATGTATTTATTCATGGATGCTCATGTCTTAAATATAAAATATTGGAAAAAATTGTTTTAGTGCTTTGAAACAAGTGTTTTTTAAAAAAGTGATTTAAAATGTCATTTTAGTTATATTACAAGATCACTTTTCTCCTGTAAAAATTCCTGCTTCTTGCTTCAATTATTTATGAAGTATTTCTTCAATCTCTCACTCATTGCAAATTTTTATTTAGAGCTGACTACATTTCAGACACTGAATACTGTAGTTAAATGGTGAACAAAATAGACATATTCTTTGCTGCTTTAAAACTTCAGTAGAGGATAGCAGTAAATATGTATTATAGTACAAGATGACAGGTAAATTAGTAAGAATATAAAGTTCCAGAAAAACATAGGTAAGAGACATAGTGAACCAAAGTTGGGAAGAAAAAAGTACTTGCTTCTTTTCCCTCCCTTTGTTTATATCTTACTTGCTTCAAATCAGAATTGATGTCTAAACTTGGAAAGGGCAGATGGAATGTAGACACATACATAAACCAAAGAACATCATTCTAACCCCAAGGAATAGCATAGCCAAAAGCTTTAAAATTAGTTAAAGCACAGTGCATTTTTTAAAAAATAAAAGTTCAATAAGGCTAGACCTTAAAGTGTAAAAAGGAAGTGAAAGGAGAGCATGAAAACGGATAAAGAACCAAATTATGGTGACATATTTTATGTAGGAGAACTTGGATTTTATCATGAGGAGGATGGTGAACAATGTAACTGAAATGAGGGGTATTTTAGAAATAAACTCTAGCTACTATTGAAAGTAGATTTTAGAGGCAGGAAAAACATTAAAAATATAGTTTTAACATTTCTCATTCTAGAGCAATTGCAATCATCTCCTTCCACGGAGTTCCCATTTTTACAAATTATTTTAACATACAGACCGAGGTAAACATTATTTATTCTCTACCAACTATAGGCATGCTTTGGATGTTCTCTTTTATAAGATTCCTAATTTTAATGGCATAATGTTATCAGCGGTGTGAGGTTTTCTTTACACCTGCTATTTCCTCTCAGGTATAAGAAGCTCCACTGTGGAGGACTTCGGGTCCATTTCCTGCCTCACATGTGTTAGGAATGTAAAGAGCCAGCTGTAAATGAAGTGGACTTCTATGCGAGAAAGCACATTTTCCTGAGTTATACGTCAAATTCTCAAATACCAGTTTCAACAGAAAGGAAGGCAGCATTGTCTTTTGCATTATTTCTTTAGGTTTTTGTCTCATTTGTCTCTTACTTGTTCTAAAACTCAGATGGAGGAGAGGATTGCTTGTATGTCTTTTTAAACTTTCCTAAATATACTTTCTAAGAAAACCAAAATAGAATAATGTTGAACTTTAAGTATTCAAATATGCCACTTTCATTTACACACACTAAAAAGTATCAAAGATGTACTTTAACTTTATCACATGACTGAAAAACTTCATTTATATTAACCATTCTCCCTAATCCCAGGTGGCCTAACAGAAAAAAAAAAAACAATAAGTTATAAGACTTATTAGTTTTTATTTGTTTTGTAAAGGCAAATGAAATTTAGTATGATAGAAAACAAAATATTCATGAATAATTTAAATACAGAGTTTTAGGGACTATGATTTTCTTCACCATTCCAGGTGAACTTTAATTTAATTTGTTAATGTTTAATGAAGAGTTCAACTTTTCCAAGACTGAACAAAGTCTTTTTCGCTATCCAGAGGAAAATGGCAGGACCCTCACATAAGTGCATTTAATCCTGAAAATGTAATTATGAGAACTTAATGAGAAGAAAATCCAGTTAATTGCTTTACTGTTTCTTCCCCATTCCCTTGTTGTTCTTAAGGAAGCTTATTTCGATACTGATGACATTCAGTAGGACACTAATTAGTATAATTTTAAGCTGTTATTAATTACCTTTTTTAAAAGCAAAAGCAAGGCTTTTTAAATTGTTTTTCTGTTTAGAATAAAAGATTAAAATCCTAAACCTCTTAGTATATGTGAATTGAAGCTTGATCAATACTATTTTACTGCATTACCTCTTTATAGCCTCATCTCACATGCTGTGTTTGAGACAGTTGTCTTTTCTTTTGTCCTTACAATGACAGTCTCTAGGCTGTGGTTACTTTTTCTGTCTAACAACTGAGGTTGTATCATATGCCTCTTAAGTGTTTTTGATATAACAAATAAGAATATAAAATGTAGGTGTGCTAAAATCAGAAAGCAAACTTCGAAACATTAAGATTCATAATAAAAATTCATTGTTACATTACATTTTTGCTCCTATATCTTTTCTCCTTGTTTTGATATAAATTCTCTACTTTTAGGTGCTCAGAAATCCCTATTCACATTAGATTTTCAAAACCTATAAACCCAGCAGAACTTTACACTCTGACCATTCATCATTTCCTTTCGAGTTACAAGAAATATAACATATCTAGAATGTTTGGATCTTTTTTCTCCACCAGGAATATCTGTTTCCAAATCTTGTGTACCAAGCTTGTTTCCACTTATCTTTCAAGTCCGAAAATAAATGTCTGATCCTTTGTGAATTTGTCCTGGAGTTCCAGCTTTATACCTGGAGTTCCAGCTTCTATATGGTTTTTCTACTGCAGTGTCTACATTGGTCTCTTTATAGAATTTTCACAATGCAATGCAATAATTATTTTGCACATTAGTCCTTTCTAGATGACCAACTGTGTAGGGTTAAGAGTAGTTTCCTATTTAATTTTGAATTTAAATAGCATAATATATAATATGCACATATATTTTTCGTTGAAATTTTTAAAAAGAAAGTAGCCTTAAGCTACTTTCAACCAAAAATTTGGTATCAGGGCTGAGCATGGCAGCTCACACCTGTAATACCAGCATTTTGGGAGGCTGAGGTGGGAAGATGGTTTGAGTCCAGGAGTTTGAGACTAGGTTGGACAACACAGGAGGACTTCATGTTTACTAAAAGAAAAAAAAAATAGCCAGGAATTGTGGTGCATGCCTTGTGATCCCAGCTACTTGGGAGGCTGAGGTGGGAAGGACACTTAAGGCCAGGTGTTGAGGCTTCAGTGAGCTGTGATCATGCCACTGCTCTCCAGCCTCCAGCCTCTGCGACAGAACAAGACTCTGTCTCAAAAAAAAAGAATAATAATAATAATAGTGATAACTTGCTATCAGGTATTCTATATCTTGGGATGAATGAGGTACCATGTTCAGGGACATTTACGTTTGAAGCCACACATTGAAATTAGGAATTAAATGATTTATCTTCTCTTAAATAAATGTAAAATACCAATAGAAAGAATTAAAAGGTATTTGAGGTGACAGTAAACACTCGTCAGGCTTAACTTAGTTGTCTACATTTATTTTCAATTATTCTTAGCTTAATTCTTCTGAAATGAAATAGCTTATCCCTGTGTTTACTCAACTTCATATTAACTTGAATTAATACTCATATATAAAACACATTTTATCAGAAATTAATAAGGTCTATTGTAACAAATATGAGAATGATTAATCCTTGACAAAAATAAATCCTAGACAAATTAAAGTCAAATAATAAATACAAAAAGTATTGGAATACAAGTGTAAACTATTTTCCCACAGAATCAGATCCTTGAGTTCTAGACTAGCCTGGGCAACATAGCAAGACCCCCTCTCTAGAAAGTAATTTTAAAAATAGCCAAGTTTGGTGGCAAGCACCTTTAGTCCCAACTACTCTGGAGGCTGTTGTTGCAGGAAGTCAGGGACCCC
Organism: Homo sapiens; assembly: GCF_000001405.40. Taxonomy (NCBI): domain Eukaryota; kingdom Metazoa; phylum Chordata; class Mammalia; order Primates; family Hominidae; genus Homo; species Homo sapiens. The sequence continues at coordinate 38,089,377 of NC_000011.10, forward strand.
AAATGGAGGCACCAGCTGGAACCATGGCAGAAGAACATAAATTCTGAAGATTTCATGGGCATTTATCAGTTCCCAAAATTAATACTTTTATAATTTCTTATGCCTGTCTTTACTGCAATCTCTGAACATAAATTGTGAAGATTTCATGTGCATTTATCACTTCCCTAATAATAATCTTATAATTTCTTATGCCTGTCTTTACTTTAATCTCTTAATCCCGTTATCTTCATAAGCTGAGAATGTACGTCACCTCAGGACCACTGTTGTATAAACAGATTGTAAAACACATGTGTTTGAACAATAAGAAATCAGTACACCTTGAAAAAAATGGAAGAACAGCAATTTTCAGGGAACAAAGTAAGATAACCATAAGATCTGACTGCCTCAGGGGTCGGGGAGAATACAGCCACATTTTTCTTCTTGGAGAGAGCTTATAAACAGACGTGCAAGTAAGAGGATATCACTGAATTCTTTTCGCAGCGCGGAATACCCTGGGGAAGGAATGCATTCCTGGGGGGAAGGGCTATAAATAGCTGCTCTGGGAGTGTCTGTATTATGCAGTTGAGATAAGGATTGAAATACGCCCTGGTCTGCAGTACCCTCAGGCTTACTAGGATTGGGAAATTCCAGCCTGGTAAATTCTAGTCAGACCGGTTCTCTGGTCTCAAACCCTGTTTCCTGTTAAGATGTTTATCAAGACAATATGTGCACAGTGGGACATAGACCCTCCTCAGTAATTCTAATTTTGCCTTTGCCTTGTGATCTTTATTGCCTTTTGGAGCATGTGTTCTTTGTGACTTACTCCCTGTCCTTACACCCCCTCCCCTTTTAAAATCCCTAATAAAAACTTGCCGGTTTTGTGGCTCAGGGTCATCATGGTCCTACCAATATGTGATCAATATGTGATGTCACCCCTGGAGGCCCAGC